>NC_000009.12:100038733-100190248 GCF_000001405.40 Homo sapiens | reverse complement strand
GGGTGGAAACAGATATTCCAAGCAAATGGAAACCAAAAGCAGGCAAGAGTAGCTATTCTGATGTTAACAAAACAGACTTTAAAGCAACAATGGTTAAAAGAAAAAAAGACAAAGAAAGTCATTATATAGTGATAAAAGGATCAATCCAACAAGAAGATATTACAATCCTAAATATATATGCACCTAACTCTGGAGCTCCCAGAGTTGGACAGAAACACAATAATAGTGGGGGACTTCAACACTCCACTGACAGCACTAGACAGATCATCCAGGCAGAAAGTCAACAAAGAAACACAGGACTTAAACTGCACTCTACAACAAATGGACCTAACCAATACAGAAAATTCTACCCCATACTTTGCTGGGCACAGTGGCTCACGCCTGTAATCCTAGCACTTTGGGAGGGTGAGGCAGGCAGATTGCTTGAAACCAGGAGTTCAAGACCAACCTGGCCGACATGGCAAGACCCCCGTCTATTAAAAAAAAACAAACAAATAAATAAATAAAAGAAAAAAGAATACACATACTTCTTATCAGCAAATGGAACATTCTCCAAGATAGAACACATGATAGGCAACAAAATAAGTCTCACTAAATTTTTAAAATTCAAAATCATATCAAAGATAATCAAGTATCAATAAGGTAAACAAGTATCTTTTCAGACCATAGTGGAGAAAAACTAGAAATCAACTCCAAAAGGACCTCTCAGAATTATACAAGTAATGAAAATTAAACAATTTTCTCCTGAATTATTTCTGAGTTAACAATGAAATCAAGATGGAAATTAAAAAATTCTTTGAAATGAATAATAGTGACACAGTTATTAAAGCCTCCGAGATACAGCAAAAGCAGTAGTAAGAGGAAAGTTTTTAGCACTAAATGCCTAAATCAAAAAGTCTGAAAGATCACAAATTGACAACCTATTGTCACACTTCAAGGAAGTAAAGAAACAAGAACAAACAAAAACCCAAACTAGCAAAAGAAAAGAAATAACAAAGATCAGAGCAGAATCAAATGAAA
Organism: Homo sapiens; assembly: GCF_000001405.40. NCBI lineage: Eukaryota > Metazoa > Chordata > Mammalia > Primates > Hominidae > Homo > Homo sapiens. The sequence continues at coordinate 100,189,228 of NC_000009.12, read as the reverse complement.
TTGAAACAAACAAACATAAACAATATAAAAGAACCAATGAAACAAAAACCTGTGTTTTTGACAAGGTAAACAAGATTGATAGACCATTAGCTATATTAACCAAAAAAAAAAAAAAAAAAAAAGAAGATGCAAATAAGTTCCATTAGAAATGAACGTGGAGACACTACAGCAATATCTGTAACACAGAAATACAAAAAGACATCACAGATATACAAAAGATCATTTGAGACTACTGTGAACACCTCTATGCACACAAAGTAGGAAATCTAGAGGAAATGGATAAATTCCTGGAAATACACAGCCCCCCATCTTCAATTAGGAAGAAACAGAAATCCTGAACAAACCAATAACAAGCAATGAGATTGACTCAGTAATTTTAAAAATTGCCAACAACAACAACAAAAAACGCCCAAGGTCAGATGGATTCACAGCCAAATTCTACCAGATATTCAAAGAAAAATTGGTATCAATATTACTGAAACTATTCCAAAAGATTGAGAAAGAGGTAATCCTCCCTATCTCATTCTACAAAGCCAGTATCACCCTGATACCAAGACCAGGAAAGGATCTAACGGACAAAAAAAAAAAAAAAAGAAAGAAACTACAGACCAATAGCCCTGATGAACATGGATGCAAAAACCCTCAGCAAAATACCAGCAAACTGAATCCAACAGCATATCAAAAAGATAATTCACCCTGGGTTTCATCCAGGGCTGCAGGGATGCTTTAACATTTGCAAGTCAATAAGTACGATTCATCACATAAATGGAATTAAAAATAAAAAACATACAATCATCTCAATAGACACAGAAAAAGCATTCAATAAAATCTAGCATTTCTTTATAAAAAAACCCTCAACACATTATTATTTTGAGGTATGTTCCGTCTAAGTATAGAAGGAAGCCACATATGACAAACCCACAACCAATATCTTAATGAATGGGGAAAATTAGAAAGCATTCCCTGGAAGAACCGGAACAAGACAAGGATGCCCACTTTCATCATTTCTATTCAGCATAGTACTGGAAGTCCTAACCAGAGCAATCAGCACGAGAAAGAAAGAAAGGACATCCAAATTGGAAATGAGAAGGTCAAACTATCTCTCTTTGCCAATGATATGATTGTACACCTACAAAACCCTAAAGACTCCTCCAAAAGAATCCTAGATTTGATAAATGAATCCAATTATATCTCAGGTTACAAAATCAATGTACACAAATTAGTAGCACTGCTATACACCAACAGTGACCATGCAGAGCATCAAATCATGAACTAAATCCCTTTTGAAATAGCTGCAAAACAACACCACCACCAAAACAAAACAAAAAACTGGGAATATACTTAACCAGAAAGATGAAAGATCTCTACAAGATGAACTATAAAACACTGCTGAAAGAAATCATAGATGAGGCTGGATGCAGTGGCTCACGCCTATAATCCCAGCACTTTGGGAGGCTGTGCATCACCTGAGCTTAGGAGTTTGAGACCAGCCTGGCCAACATGGTGAAACCTCATCCGTACTAAAAATACAAAAATTAGCTGGGTGTGGTGGCACACATCTGTAATCCCAGCTACTCAGGAGGCTGAGGCAGGAGAATCGCTTGAACCTGGGAGGCGGAGGTTGTGGTGAGCTGAGATCACGCCACTGCCCTCCAGCCTGGGTGACAGAGTGAGACTTTGTCTCAAAAAAAAAAAAAAAAAAAGAAATCATAGATGATACAAACAAATGGAAACACATCCCACGCTCATTGACTGGAAGCATCAGTATTGTAAAAATGACCATACTGCCCAAAGCAATCTACAGATTCAATGTAATTCTGATAAAAATACCAACATCATTTTTCACAGAATAAGTAACAATCCTAAAATTCATATAGAACCAAAAAAGAGTCTGGACAGCCAAAGCAATCCTCAGCAAAAAGAACAAATCTGGAGGCATCACAATTACCTGCCTTCAAATTATATTACAAGGCTATAGTAATTAAAACAACATGGTACTGGTATGAAAATAGATGTACAGACCAATGGAACAGAATAGAGAACCCAGAAATAAAGTCAAATACTTACAACTGATCTTTGACAAAGCATACAAAAACATAAATTGGGGAAAAAACACCCTATTCAATAAAAGATGCTGGGAAAACTGGATACGCACATGTAGAAAAAAGAAACTGGATCCCTATCTCTCACCATATACAAAAATCAACTCAAGATGGATGAATGACTGAAATCTAAGACCTGAAACCATAAAAATTCTTGAAGAAAACCTAGGGAAAACTCTTCCAGACAATAGTCTAGGCAAAAATTTATGACTAAGACCCCCCAAAGCAAATTTAACAAAAACAAAAATAAATGAGACCTAATAAAAATAAAAAGCTTCTGCTCAGTGAAAAAAATAATTTTCAGAGTAAACAGACAACCCACAAAATGGAAGAACATATTTCTAAGCTATGCATCTGACAAAGAACTAATAACCAGAATCCACAAGAAACTCAAATCAGCAAGGAAAAAACCCAAATAATCCCATTAAAAAGTAAGCAAATGACATGAATAGACATCTCAAAAAAGATATACAAATGGCCAACATCTGGAAAAAATGCTAAACATCACTAATCATCAGGAAATGCAAATTAAAACCACAATGAGATAATATCACCATAGCCCAGCCAGAACAGCCATTATTAAACAGTCAAAAAACAAGAGATGTTGGCATGAATGGGGTGAAAGGGGAACACTTTATATGCTGCTGGCAGGAATGTAAATTAGTACAACCTGGCTGGGCTCGGTTGGTCATTCATGCCTGTAATCCCAGCACTTTGGGAGGCTGAGGTGGGTGGATCATGATGTCAGGAGTTCAAAATCAGCCTGGCCAAGATGGTGAAACCCCGTCTCTACTAAAAATACAAAAAAAATTAGCCAGGCGTGGTGGTGGGTGCCTGTAATCCCAGCTACTGAGGGGGCTGAGGCAGAGAATTGTTTAAAACCCGGGAGGTGAAGGATGCAGTGAGCTGAGATTGCGCTACTGCACTCCAGCCTGGGTGACGGAGTGAAACTCCATCTCAAAGAAAAAAAAAATTAGTACAACCTGTATGGAAAACAACGTGAAGATTTCTCAAGGAACTAAAAGTAGATCTACCATTTGACCCATTTGATCCAGCAATTCTACTACTGGGTATTTACCCCGAGGAAAGTAAGTCATTAAAAAGACATCTGCATGCATATGTATATTGCAGCACAATTCACAGTTGCAAAGATATGGAATCAACCTAAGTGCCCATCAACTGATGAGCAGATGAAGAAAATGTGGAACATATATACAATGGCATACTACTCAGCCATAAAAAGGAAGAAATAATGTCCTTGTAGCAACTTGGATGGAGGAGGCCATTATTCTAAGTGAAGCAACTCAGGAATGGAACATCAAATACTGTATGTTCTCACTTATAAGTGGAAGCTAAGCTATGGTTATGCAAAGGCATACAGAGTGATATAATGTACTTTGGGGACTCAGAAAGGGGAAGGGTGAGAGTGGGCAGAGGAATAAAAAGCTACATATTGGGTACAACATACACTATTCAGGTGATGGGTGCACTAAAATCTTAGACTTCACCACTACACAATTCATCCATGTAACCAAAAACCACTTGCACTATAAAAGCTACTAAAATGAATATATATATATATATATATATATATATATATATATATATATTTCTATGCATATACAAAATGAAGTGTTTCTCTTGTAGACAGCAAAAAAAAAATTCTATTTATAAAAACTTCAAGAACAGGTAAAACTAATCTTTTGTGTTAAAAATCATAATGGTGTTAACCATGGAGGTGGTGACTGGTTGAAAGTGGGGAAAAAAGGAACTTTCTGGTGTTGCCTAAATGTTTTATGTCCTGACTGTGGTGGTGGTGATGTGAGTAGGTACATTTATTACACATATCTAATTGTATATTTTTCTGTACATTCTTGTATGCACATTTTAACTCAATAATAATAATCATTAAAAAATATTATTGGAACAAATATAAAGATGACAGTATAAAGTTTACATTTTTGCAATCTAAGTTCATTTTAAAAAGTAAATCTATTATCAACATTATTTCATAAAAAAGTGTAAGCCCTCAAAAAGGAAATAAAGGACTGTCCTTCCTGAAAGGACAGCTGGTAGCTTTTCACCAACATCTATTTACATCTTTCGTGCCTGAGGAAAATCATTAATAACTGACAATCAATAAATCTATGGCATGCATTACACAGAATTGCCCAGGTAAGAAATAGCTTTATAGCAAAGGATCACAAATTAATTGTAACTTGAGTATCTACTCCTGTCATTTTCCATTTGTGGCAAATATTCAAAATCACTGTTTTTTCCTGCATGCAATGTCTTTAAGAATTATGGCATCTCCCTTCCAATGACCTCTTAAATAGGCCTCTTATTGAATCTCTGCTTGAGATGCTCTGAAAGATCTCTTTGAGTGCTCCCCTTACTTTCCCCCACATGCATTTTTTTGTATACCATGTAGCCTATATACGAAGTCATATTATTCTAAATATGTCTTCCCAATGTAGCAAAAGGCCACCCAACTATTTTCAAGAACTGTAGTAACAGGAAGACAGACTTATTACATACAGACTATAGGTGCACAGACATGCACAAACCTATATGTTAAATACTACACAAACCTATATATGTTAAATACTACAATGATCTTTTCTTCATTTTTTTACAAAATGGTGAGGACTTTGTCATCAACACGAAGCAAGTGGTCTATGGATTCACAGGAACTAATGCTTTTCAGTGAGGTAAAACAGTGCTCTGGTGATCTGCATGGTTTTCCAGCAACATATACTCTCTGTTACATGCAACATATACTTCTCTCTTATACAACTACATCCAATAACTTTGATTTAGCACTGCTAGAAACATTCCCAACACTGGCATTTTAAACATATTAGAATCAGGTGAGGAGCTTTTAAAAAGCATTACTGTCTGGTTTCTACCTCAGACCAATTGAATTAGAATCTTGGGAAGTGAAACTCAAGCAATTTTTAAGAATTCCTTTAAAATTTTTTCTCTTGAATTAAAAAAAGCGATACTTCATTGCATTATTATTTTAGTATTTCCTCCAAGTATTATAGTTCATATCCATAACTTTACAAAGTCTATTTAGAGTTAATGTTGTATCACTTTATACAAAATGCAAGACCCTTGCAATTGTATAGTTGCATTATCCCCACCCCATACTTTATGCTGTAGATATCATATATATGTATTATACCTATATTTACTATAAATTCCATAATAGTTTTATAATTTTTGCTTTAAATAGCAATATTAATTTTAAAGAAATTAAGAAAAAATAATTGTTTATCTTTAGCTACCTATTTATCTTTTCTGGTGCTTTTTTTTTTTTTTTTTTTTTTCCCTGAAACAGAGTTTCACTCTGTTGCCCAGGCTGGAGTACAGTGGCGCGATCTCGGCTCACTGCAACCTCTGCCTCCTGGACTCAAGCAATTCTCATGCCTCAGCCTCCCGAGTAGCTGGGACTACAGGCGCATCACCACACCCAGCTAATGTTTTGTATTTTAGTAGAGACGAGGTTTCACCATGTTGCCCAGGGCAGTCTTGAAATGCTGAGCTCAGGTGATCTGCCCTCCTCAGTCTCCCAAAGTGCTGGGATTACAGGCGTAAGCCACTGTGCCCGACCATTATTTCTTTTAATATAGGTTTGTTTGGGATAAATTATCTTAGTTTTGTTTGTCCTTATTTCAGTTTTATTCTGGAAAGATAGTTTTACCAGATACAGAATTCTAGATTGACAGTTTTTCCTTTCAGCATTTTAAAGCGATTATTTTACTGTCTGCATGTGCCTATTGATACTGAAGAGTATGTTGTCACCTGTATTCATGCTTTACTATATTGGATCATGTCTTTTCTTTTTTTAATTATACTTTAAATTTTGAGATACATGTGCAGAACGTGCAGGTTGGTTACATAGGTATACACGTGCCATGGTGGTTTGTTGCACCCATCAACCTGTCATCTACATTAGGTATTTCTCCTAATGCTATGCCTCCTCTTACCCCTCATCCCCCGGCAGGCCCCAGTATGTGATGTTCCCCTCCCTGTATCCATGTGTTCTCATTGTTCAACTCCCATTTATGAGTGAGAACATGCGGTGTTTGGTTTTCTGTTCCTGTGTTAGTTTGCTGAGAATGATGGTTTCCAGTTTAATCCATGTCCCTGGAAAGGACATGAACTCATCCTTTTTATGGCTGCATAGTATTCCATGGTGTATATGTGCCACATTTTCTTTATCCAGTCTATCACTGATGGGCATTTGGGTTGGTTCCAAGTCTTATTGTGAATAGTGCTGCAATAAACATATGTGTGCATGTGTCTTTATCGTAGAATGATTTATAATCCTTTGGGCATATATCCAGTAATGGGATTACTGGGTTAAATAGTATTTCTGGTTCTAGATCCTTGAGGAATCGCCACACTGTCTTCACAAAGGTTGAACTAATTTACACTCCACCAATAGTGTAAAAGCATTCCTATTTCTCCACATCCTCTCCAGCACCTGTTGTTTCCTGACTTTTTAATGATCGCCATTCTAACTGGCATGAGATGGTGGTATCTCGTTGTGGTTTTAATTTGCATTTCTCTAATGACTAGTGATGATGAGCTTTTTTTCATGTGTTTGTTGGCCGCAATAATGTCGTCTTTTGAAGACAGTGTCTGTTTTTTGAGACGTGTCTGTTTATATACTTCGCCCACTTTTTGATGGGGTTGTTTTTTTCTTGTAAGTTTAAGTTCCTTGTACATTCTGGATATTAGCCCTTTGTCAGATGGATAGATTGCAAACATTTCCTCCCATTTTATAGGTTGCCTGTTCACTCTGCTGATAGTGTCTTTTGCTGTGCCAAAGCTCTTTAGTTTAATTAGATCCCACTTGTCAATTTTGGCTTTTGTTGCCATTGCTTTTGGTGTTTTAGTCATGAAATCTTTGCCCATGCCTCTGTCCTGAATGGTATTGTCTAGGTTTTCTTCTAGCGTTTTTATGGTTTTAGGTCTTACGTTTAAGTCTTTAATCCATCTTGAGTTAATTTTTGTATAAGGTGTAAGGAAGGGGTCCAGTTTCAGTTTTCTGCATATGGCTAGCCATTTTCCCAACACCATTTATTAAATAGGGAATCCTTTCCCCATTGCTTGTTTTTGTCAGGTTTGTCAAAGATTAGATGGTTGTAGATGTGTTGGGTTATTTCTGAGGCCTCTATTCTGTTCCATTGGTCTATATCTCTGTTTTGGTACCAGAATCATGCTGTTTTGGTTACTGTAGGCTTGTAGTGTAGTTCGAAGTCAGGTAGCATGATGTCTCCAGCTTTGTTCTTTTTGCTTAGGATTGTCTTGGCTATATGGGCTCTTTTTTGGTTCCATACGAAATTTAAAGTAGTTTTTTCTAATTCTGTGAAGAAAGTCAATGGTAGCTTGATGGGGATAGCACTGAATCTATAAATTGCTTTGGGCAGTATGGCCATTTTCATCATATTGATTCTTCCTATCTATGAGTATGGAATGTTTTTCTATTTGTTTGTGTCATCTCTTATTTCTTTGAGCAGTGGTTTATAGCTCTCCTTGAAGAGGTCTTTCACATCACTTGATAGTTGTATTCCTAGGTATTTTATTCTCTTTGTAGCAATTGTGAATAGGAGTTCACTCATGATTTAGCTGTTTGTCTATTATTGGTGTATAGGAATGCTTGGGAGTTTTGCACATTGATTTTGTATCCCGAGACTTTGCTGAAGTTGCTTATCAGCTTAAGGAGATTTTGGGTTGAGATGATGGGATTTTCTAAATATACAATCATGTCATCTGCAAACAGAAACAATTTGGCTTCCTCTCTTCCTATTTGAATACCCTTTATTTCTTTCTTTTGCCTGATTGCCCTGGCCAGAACTTCCAATACAGGAGTGGTGAGAGAGGGCATCCTTGTCATGTGCCAGTTTTCAAAGGGAATGCTTCCAGTTTTTGCCCATTCAGTATGACATTGGCTGTGGGTTTGTCATAAGTAGGTCTTATTATTTTGAGATACATTCCATCATTACCTAGTTTTTTGAGAGTTTTTAGCATGAAGGGGTGTTGAATTTTATTGAAGGCCTTTTCTGCATCTATTGAGATAATCATGTGGTTTTGTCATTGGTTCTGTTTATGTGATGGATTATGTTTATTGATTTGTGTATGTTGAACCAGCCTTGCATCCCAGGGGTGAAGCTGACTTGATCATGGTGGATAAGCTTTTTGATGTGCTGCTGGATTCAGTTAGCCAGTATTTTATTGAGGATTTTCACATCAATGTTCATCAGGGATATTGGCCTGAAATTTTCTTTTTTTGTTGTGTCTCTGCCAGGTTTTGGTGTCAGGATGATGCTGGCCTCATAAAATGAGGTAGGGAGGAGTCCCTCTTTTTCTATTGATTGGAATGGTTTCAGAAGGAATGGTACCAGCTCCTTTCTGTACCTCTGGTAGAATTCAACTGTGAATCTGTCTGGTCCTGGGTTTTTGGAGGTTGCTAGGCTATTAATTACTGCCTCAATTTCAGAACTTGTTATTGGTCTATTCAGGGATTCGACTTCTTCCTGGTTTAGTCTTAGGAGGGTGTATGTGTCCAGGAATTTACCAATTTCTTCTAGATTTTCTAGTTTATTTGCGTAGAGGTGTTTCTGGTATTCTCTGATGGTAGTCTGTATTTCTGTGGGATCAGTGGTTATATCCCCTTTATCATTTTTTATTGTGTCTATTTTATTCTTTTCTCTTTTCTTCTTTATTAGTCTGGGTGGTGGTCTACCTGTTGTTAATCTTTTAAAAAAAAACCAGCTCCTGGATTCTTGATTTTTTGAAGGGTTTTTCGTGTCTCTATCTCCTTTAGTTCTGCTCTGATCTTAGTTATTTCTTGTCTTCTGAATTTGTTTGCTCTTGCTTCTCTAGTTCTTTTAATTGTGATGTTAGGGTGTCGATTTTAGATCTTTCCCACTTTCTCCTGTGGGCATTTAGTGCTATAAATTTCCCTCTAAACACTGCTTTAGCTGTGTCCCAGAGATTCTAGCACGTTGTGTCTTTGCTCTTATTGGTTTCAAGGAACTTATTTATTTCTACCTTAATTTCATTATTTACCCAGTAGTCATTCAGGAGCAGGTTGTTCAGTTTCCATGTAGTTGTGTGGTTCTGAGTGAGTTTCTTAATCCTGAGTTCCAATTTGATTGCACTGTGGTCTGAGAGACTGTTACGATTTCCATTCTTTTGCATTTGCTGAGGAGTGTTTTACTTCCAATTATGTGGTCAATTTTAGAATAAGTGCAATGTGGTACTGAGAAGAATGTATATTCTGTTGATATGGGGTGGAGAGTTCTGTAGATGTTTATTAGGTCTCCTTGGTCCAGAGCTGAGTTCAAGTCCTGAATATTCTTGTTAATTTTCTGTTGCATTGATCTTTCTAATATTGACAGTGGGGTGTTCAAGTCTCCTATTATTATTGTGTGGGAGCCTAAGTCTCTTTGTAGGTCTCTGAGAACTTGCTTTATGAATCTGGGTGGTTCTGTATTGGGTGCATATATATTTAGGATATTTAGCTCTTCTTGTTGCATTGATTCCTTTACCATTATGTAATGCCCTTGTTTGTCTTTTTTGATCTTTGTTGGTTTAAAGTCTGTTTTATCAGAGACTAGGATTGCAACCCCTGCTTTTTTTTTTTGCTTTCCATTTGCTTGGTAAATATTCCTCTATCCCTTTATTTTCAGCCTGTGTGTGTCTTTGCACGTGAGATGGGTCTCCTGAATTACAGCACACCAATGGGTCTTGACTCTTTATCCAATTTGCCAGTCTGTGTCTTTTAATTGGGGCATTTAGACCATTTACATTTAAGGTTAATATCGTTATCTGTGAATTTGATCCTGTCATTGTGATGCTACCTGGTTATTTTGCCTATTCGTTGATGCAGTTTCTTCACAGTGTCGATGGTCTTTACAATTTGGTATGTTTTTGCAGTGGCTGCAACCAGTTTTTCCTTTCCATAGTTAGTGCCTCCTTCAGGAACTCTTGTAAGCCAGGCCTGGTGGTGACAAAATCTCTCTGCATTTGCTTCTCTGTAAAGGATTTTATTTCTCCTTCGCTTATGAAGCTTAGTTTGGCTGGATATGAAATTCTGTGTTGAAAATTCTTTTCTTCAAGAATGTTGAATATTGACCCTCACTCTCTTCTGGCTTGTAGGGTTTCTGTAGAGAGATCCACCGTTAGTCTGATGGGCTTCCCTTGTGGGTAACCTGACCTTTCTCTCTGGCTGCCCTTAACATTTTTCCCTTCATTTCACTCTTGGTGAATCTGACGATTATGTTTCTTGGAGTTCCTCTTCTTGAGGAGTATCCTAGTGGTGTTCTCAGTATTTCCTGAATTTGAATGTTGGTCTCTTGCTAGGTGGGGAAAGTTCTCCCGGATAATATCCTGAAGAGTGTTTTCCAATTTGGTTCCATTCTCCCCGTCACTTTCAGGTACACCAATCAAACATAGATTTGGTCTTTTCACATAGTCCTATATTTCTTGGAGTCTTTGTGCATTCCTTTTCATTCTTTTTTTCTCTAATCTTGTCTTCACACTTTATTTCATTAAGTTGATCTTCAGTCTCTGATATTCTTTCTTCGATTTGATTGATTCAGCTATTGATACTTGCGTGTGCTTCACAAAGTTCTCCTGCTGTGTTTTTTTAGCTCCATCAGGTTATTTATGTTCTTCTCTAAACTGGTTATTCTAGTTAGCAATTCCTCTAACCTTTTTTCAAGGTTCTTAGCTTTCTTGCATTGGGTTAGAACATGCTCCTTTACAGAAAAAGCTCAGAGGAGTTTATTATTGCCCACCTTCTGAAGCCTACTTCTGTCAATTCATCAAACTCATTCTCTGTCCAGTTTTGTTCCCTTGCTGGTGAGGAGTTGTGATCCTTTGCAGAAGAAGAGGTGTTCTGGTTTTTGGAATTTTCAGGCTTTTTGCATTGGTTTTTCCTCATCTTCATGGATTTATCTACCTTTGGTCTTCTATGTTGGTGACCTTTGGATGGGGTTTCAGTGTGCACATCCTTTTTGTTGATGTTGATGTTATTCTTTTATTTTTGTTAGTTTTCCTTCTAATAGTCAGGCCCCTATTCTACAGGTTTGCTGGAGTTTGATGAAAGTCCACTCCAGACCCTGTTTGCCTAGGTATCTGCAGCAAAGACTGCAGAACAGCAAAGATTGCTGCCTGTTCCTTCCTCTGGAAGCTTCGTTCCAGAGGGGCACCTGCCAGATGCAAGCCAGAGCTGTCCTGTATGAGGTGTCTGTCGGCCCCTGCTGGGAGGTGTCTCCCAGTCAGGAGGCACCGGAATCAGGGACCCACTTGAAGAGGCAGTCTTTCCCTTAGCAGAGCTCGAGCGCTGTGTTGGGAGATCTGCTGCTCTCTTCAGAGCCAGCAGGCAGGAACATTTAAGTCTGCTGAAGATGCATCCACAGCTGCCCCTTCCCTCAGGTGCTCTGTCCCAGGCAGATGGGAGTTTTATCTATAAGCCCCTGACTGGGGCTTCTGCCTTTCTTTCAGAGATGCCCTGCCAAGAGAGGAGGAATCTAGAGAGGCAGTCTGGCTGCAGTAGCTTTGCTGAATTGTGGTGAGCTCCACCCAGTTTGAGCTTCCTGGTGGCTTTGTTTACACTGTGAGGGGAAAACTGCCTACTGAAGCCTCAGTAATGGGGGACGCCCCTCCCCCCACCAAGCTAGAGTGTCCCAGGTCGACTTCAGACTGCTGTGATGGCAGCAAGAATTTCGAGTCAGTGGATCTTAGCTTGCTGGGCTCCGTGGGAGTGGGATCTGCTGAGCTAGACCACTTGGCTCCCTGACTTCAGCCCCCTTTCCAGGGGAGAGAATGGTGCTCTCTCGCTGACATTCCCAGGCACCACTGGGGTATGAAGAAAAACTCCCACAGGTAGCTTGGTGTCTGCCCAAATGGCCGCCCGGTTTTTTGCTTGAAACCCAGGGCCCTGGTGGTGTAGGCACCCAAGGGAATCTCCTGATCTGTGGGTTGCAAAGATTGTGGGAAAAGCGTAGTATCTGGACCGGAATGCACCGTTGCTCATGGCACAGTGCCTCACGGTTTCCCTTGGTTAGGGCATCATCATGTCTTTTTCTTTGGCTGCTTTTTTTTTTTTTTAAAGGTGATATGGTTGTTTTATTCATTTGTACTTAAACCAGGCAAACTAGTACTGATGTCATTGTGATGTAGCAAATACAAGACCGCTGTCTATAAATATTAGCATAACCAACCAATTAGGGGCTATAGTAAAACACAGAGCCAAAGGGGCTGATGAAATCAGTGAAGTATGTTACAGCTTAATCCTTCACCTTAATAATTGGGTTTTTAACAGTAAGTAAGGCCAGGCACGGTGGCTCATGGTGTAATCCTAGCACTTTGGGAGGCTGAGGCGGGCGGATCACAAGGTCAGGAGTTCAAGACCAGTCTGGCCAACATAGTGAAACCCAGTGTCTATTAAAAATACAACAAAATAGCTGGGTGTGGTGGTATGTGCCTGTAATCCTAGCTACTTGGGAGGCTGAGGCAGGAGAATCACATCAACCCGGAAGGTGGAGGCTGCAGTGAGCTGAGATCGCACCACTGCACTCTAGCCCAGGCAGCAGTGCGAGACTCCGTCTCTAAATAAATAAATAAAAATAAAAATAAGCAAAGACCCCCAATCCCAGAAAATGGGACTATACCTTCACCACATCAATTTGTACTTTTACTTCCTATTCTTGACGCTAGGTTCTAAATCCTAAAGATATTCAAACTAGTATTATATCTACTTATCTATAGCCAGAGACAGCTTCTATCATGTTGTCCTTAGCAGCCAAGGTTATTAAAACCTTTTTTCTCCAGAAAGATCCCATAGGAAAAAAAGAAAACTCTCTGATTTGGCTCCAATCATACCCCACCCTCCACAAAATCGACTTGATAGGCATAAAGGAAACAAAGATATGAAGGCAGAACATGTAGCTTCCAAACAAGTAAAATCCTATGAGGGAGGCAGGAGGGGAGAGGAAGGATTCAGCCAGTGCCCAGACTGAAATTGAGTAATATCAGTTTCACTCATCTTTACATATCTTCAGGCTGCATGTTCTTGGAATAGTTTAGGAATAAATCTATGGTTTGTGGAGTACTAAAATACCTAGTGGTCTGCTGTATTCCATTGTAGCTTTCTTCAGCAGTTTCCAAGGCAGCCTCCAAGTCACTGAGAGAAGAATTTGCTGGAACCGCATGCAGGACTTGCAGAGATTCCTCTCCACAGCTATAGAAGGGATTGTTCCAGGCCTGATTGTTCCAGGATTGGGTGCACCAGGTCTGAGTGTTCAGGAATGGCTGTTCTAGGACTGGATGTTCCAGGTCTGGTTGCCCCAGGCCGAACTGCTACAGGTCTGGTTGCTCTGCATTGAAAGGTTCCCAGACATGTTCGCCAAGCATCCTTGGAGGCAGGAAGAATAGAGGCTGGGGTAGGTAGGTGCTCAGGCCTTTGGAGTCACACCATTGCTATTCTTTGGGCAGCTGTTTTTCTGCCACCTCTTATATTTTATTCTCTGGTTCTGGAACCAAGTCTTAACCTGTTTGTAGCTAAGATTCAGGATGCTGTAAAGTTCTTGCATCTGCTGGAGGCTGAGGTATTTCTGTCTCTGAAATCTATCACTGAGTACACACAGCTGGGTGGAAGAGAACACAGTTCTGGTCATCTGTTTCTTGACCAGGACTTTGTCTTCCTTTTTTGCGGTGCTCTTCTCTGCAGAAGTGAGTTGTCTGCCTTTGGGACTCGTGAAAGAATTAGAGCTGTCCAGACTCTGTGTGAGGCATCTCAGCAGAAGATATATGCAAGGATGGATAGTTTGTTTTGGGCCCACAAATCACAGACATTGGCAAAGAGTCTTTACAGTTGGATGCTTCAGAGCAAGGCAGGTTTTGGGGACAAGCTGGATGCACACTCATGTTATTATTGAAAAAGGGGAGGAAAAAATTTAAGAGCTGGACTGTAAAAAAGGCTAAGGCTTTAAGACTGTTTTTCTGGAAGATGTCAGAGGAATATGAGCTCCAGAAGTGAAAGTATGAAGAAGTTGGGATGAAGTGAGTTCTCCCACAGTAACAGAAGGCAACCAGCTCAGTTCAGCCCTTTGGCTGCTTTTAAGAGTTTCTCTTCATCTTTGGTTTTCAGCAATTTGATTATGGTATTTTCAGGTGAGATTTTCTTTTTTTCGGAGACAGCATCTCACTCTGTCGCCCAGGCTGGAGTGCAGTGGCATGATTCTGGCTCACTGCAACCTCCTCCTCCTGGGTTCAAGTGATTCTCCTGCCTCAGCCTCCCGAGTAGCTGGGATTACAGGCACGCACCACCATGCCCAGCTAATTTTGTATTTTTAGTAGAGATGGGGTTTCACCATGTTAGCCAGGCTGATCTCCAACTCCTGACCTCAGGTGGTCTGCCTGCCTCAGCCTCCCAAAGTGCAGGATTACAGGCATGAGCTACCATGCCTGGCCAAGATTTTCTTTGTATTTATCTTATTGGAGTTCATTACGTTTCTTGAATATTTAAATGTATGTCTTTCACCAAGTTTGGGCAATTTTTGGCCATCATTTTCTTAATTATTTTTCTGCCCCATTCTCTCTCTCCTATCTTTGTAATTACAAACAGTTTGGTCTTTCAATATTGTCCTACAAATCACTGAGACTCACTTTTTTCTTAGTATATTCGCTTCTTTTTTTTTTTAAAGATTGGTTAATTTCTATTGATCTATCTTTAAGTTCACTGACTCTTCATCTCCAATCTGCTGATAAGCCCTTCTAGTGAATCTTTAGATATTGTAGTTTTCAGTTCTAGAATTTCCATTAGTTCTTTTTATAGAGTTTCTATTTTTCTGCAAGACATCCTATCTGTTTATTCATTACGAACATATTTTTCTTTGCATCCTTAAGCAGAGTTAAAAGACCTGCTTTAAATTCCTTGTCTGCTCATTAAAATCTGGAACAACAAAGATAGTTGTTCTCCATTGTTACTTTTTCTCATGAGTATGGAACACAGTTTACTGTTTGTCCTCATGTCTAGCAATATTTGAGAATATCTTAGACACTGAAAATGATGTGTTGTAAAGATTCTGGATTCTGTTATGTTATGCTGAAGACTATTCATTTTTTGTTTTAGCAGGCAGATACCTTGGCTGAACCCAAACTCTAAATTATGTTTTTCCTGCATAGGCAGGCAGCAGCTAAATCGCTGATGAGTTATTTTAGCCTTAGCTTGGCTGCCTGAATTTTTCCCCATCTATGTTTAGGTTAGGGGTTAGTCAGAGATTTTGGCAGTTTATATGTAGAGGTTAGGCCTTCCCTTATATGAATTTCTCTGTTCTGGAAAATCTCTTCTGTTTTTCATTTTTCTTCTTTTTTGAGATGAAGTCTCACTCTGTCTCCCAGGCTGGAGTGCAAGGACATGATCTTGGCTCACCGCAACCTCTGCCTCCCGGGTTCAAGCGATTCTCCTGTCTCAGCCTCCTGAGTAGCTGGGATTATAGGCATGCACCACCATGCCCAGCTAATTTTTTGTATTTTTAGTAGAGACGGGGTTTCACCATGTTGGCCAGGCTAGTCTCGAACTCCCTACCTCAAGTGATCCACCTGCCTTGGCCTCCCAAAGTGCTGGGATTACAGGTGTGAGCCACTGCACCCAGCCTGAAACATCTCTTCTGACTTACAGCCATTGCCCCAAATGCTGTCCTTTGATTCTTCAAAAAGTAAGAATGCAGATTTCTACTCAGTTTTCATCCTCTTTGAAGAACTGAGTAGGCCCTGTTATAAAAGTGGAAACTCACCCAGTGCTATCCTCTTCTTACGGTCTTCCAAGGGCTGATTACAATGCAATTTCTGCCTACTTGGTCACTCTTCAATTCCTCCAGATAGTTGTTTTTATATTTTGTTCAGAGTTTATAAATGTTATCTACTGGAGGGCTGATCCAATAGGAGCTACTACACCATTTTCAAAAGCCATTGCTACTTTAAAAGGCTTTCTAGATGGTTGAGTACTGCTGTATCAATCTTGATGATGTGAGAAGTACTTAGGCCATCTCAATCATCTTCATCCTTCTAACTAAGTTATTCTAAGACAATGGTAGCCCTGCACTGACCACTAAGAAAGCACACACCTTGAGCCATCCATCCAACTATTATAACCTGGGACTTGGTATCTAGTGATTTCAAATCTAGTGATTATCACTGGGCTTTCATATTTTCCCCCATGCAGCCAATTCACTCTATTGAACTAATAATCTGACTCACTGGGTCGAATAGCCACTCAATCTTAAGCTCTATTCTTGCTGGTGATTGGAACCCTCCTACTCTTGGACAGAATTTCAAGTTGACCACTGCCTACCTGTAGTGGACTCACAAGTATTATCTGACTCTCTATCTACTTGTTTTTAAATCTTGTGCTAACAATAGCTGCCCTTGATTACAGGTAAACTATAATCTTTGTGCAGCTCAATGTCCCCTCCTGCTGAACCTCTGTAACCAGCTTCTCTTAGAGCTTTCCTTGTCCAAGTAGATGAGACCAGTACCAAGCTTCTGTCCTTTCTTGCTGAGTTAAATGCTATATCTCATTAATAGATTCCAAAGTTGGAAAAATAAAAGATTTTAGAGAAGTAGTAGTATTTTTAAACATCTTCACAAAACTGAAAAATAGAAAACAAAATGATCCAAGTATGTTAGATATTAAACTGTATCCAGAACGAATTCTGACTCTACAAGAATTCATTGTTTCATTCCTTGAAGGTATTTATTTAGCACCTATTTTGTGCAAGGCATTGTAGGAAGATATAAAGATAAATTTGATAGGATTCTGTATTCTAGAAGCTCATAGAATAACAGGGGTAAATTTGTTCATGAATAATTATGGGATAATAAGGGCTAAGATTCATAAGTAAGGGTCCAATGTTATTCTTAGAACTGTTACCTAAGTGTTTTGGTTGACATTTCTTAATTTTAACTTCAATCTGCTTGAATACATTTTTTTTTTTACATGCTCAAGGGCCTTATCATTTTGTGATCTAAGTCAGGACTCTTTAGACTATGTGTCCCTTAACATAATCAAAGGTTTTACAGAGTCCTTTCAAATATATTAATTTATTTAACTCCTGTAAGAACCTAAGTATTGCCACAAATTTAAAAAATAGGAAACAGAAGTCCAGAGTATTTAAACTTAAAACTTGCCTAAAATCACCGTTAGAAAGAAGCAGAGCCTAAGTCATGAATCTAGGTCTTCTGATTTATATCAGTCCAATGCTTTTGCCAATGATATACTTGATATACATCAGAGAAAAGAAAGAGATGCATGGAGAAAATCATAAAGAAGGTAAAATGTACCAATTTTGTCAAGAGGTATGAGGAAGTAGGAAAGGTATATGAATTTGGTGATCAGAAGGGCAGTGGTGAGTTAGTTGCAAATCCCTTTCATTTAGTCCAATTTAAATAATATTCAAGTTTTAAATCTAACTCTTCAGTAAATATTCAAATTTATTTATTGTCCTCCATGTAGGACAGACACTTCATGGTCTGATCCCACTTTACTTATCCAATATCATCTCTCCACGTTTTCTACCTCATAGTCAATAATACATACATATTGAGCTATAGTCATATGTTGCTTAACAATGGGAATATGTTCTGCAAAATGTATCATTAGGTGATTTTGTCATAGTGTGAACATCATAGTATACACAAACCTAGATGTTATAACTTATTACACACCTAGGCTATATGGTATAACCTGATGCTCCTAGACTACAAACCTGTACAGTATATTACTATATTGAATACTCTAGGTAAATATAACACAATGGTAAGTATTCATGTGTCTAAACGTATCTAAACATAGAAAAAATACAGTAAAAATATTCTATGAAAGATAAAAAACAGGCTGGGTGTGACGGCTCATGGGACCACCATTGTATATGTGGTCTGAAGTTAAACAAAATGTCATTATGTGGCATGTGACTGTACATATTCTTTCCCTCCTTGAGAATACTCCAAGGGAATGGAGGGAATACTCCTTGGGAATGGGCTTCCTCTCTCTTTTCTCCTCTCCACTTAGCATAGTTGCTATCTATTGAAGGAAGCCATTCTTCACCACAACACCCCAGGATGGCTTAGATGCCTCTCTTACATTTTCCTATGATATACCTAGGCTTACTCCTTTCCTAGCATTTAACACAGGAATACTACATTTTCATTACCCATTTAGCTTGTCTGTTGTCCCCATTAAACTATGAACTTCTCTGAGGGCAGGATAGTCCCTGTCATGGTTGTATTTCCATAACTTAGCACAGTGGCTTTTGCACAAATATTTGTTGAGTGAATAATAAGGATTATAAGGAGTTACAAAGCAACAAAATATTCTCATCTAACCTCAAGAGCAACAATTTTGTTTATAGGTCATAGAAAGTATGTTCTGATCAAAACCCCAAACACAAACCTATTTAAACCTATTTAAACTTTGAACTTCTTTTGCAAGGATATCAAATCTGATCTTACCATTTCCTTTTTTATTTTATTTTTTTTTTGAGACAGAATCTTGCTCTGTCACCCAAGCTGGAGGGCAGTGGTGTGATTACAGCTTGCTGCAGCCTCAACCTCCTAGGCTCAAGCAATCCTCCCTCTCAGCCTCCCAAGTAGCTGGGACCACAGCTGTGAACCAACATGACTGCTAATTTAAATTTTTTTTTTTTTTTTTTGTACAGACAGGGTCTCACTATGTTGCTGAGGCTGGTCTCAAACTCCTGGGCTCAACTGATCCTCTGGCCTTGGTCTCCCAGAGTGCTGGGATTATAGATGTGAGCCATTGTGTTTGGCTGACCTTACCATTTCCTATGAGTAATTCTGCTTAAGTATAAATGTACTCACAACTATACTTCCACAGATAGAGCTCTAGAAGAACTGCATGAAATCTGAGAAATTTCTGTAATCACAAATAATTGTTTGAAATTTTAAATATTTCTAGTTTAGATCAAGCAAAGCAAGTTCTTTAGATAACCATAATTCTAAATTCTTAGTCAGTAGTATTGAGAATTTTGCTGACCTTCACTGTGGATTACACAAGTGAGTAAAATCATAGAATTTTCAAACCAGCACTGATCAGGAAGAACTTAATGAAACATTTGTAATGGTAATAAATAGTATGGACCTCAGGGTTTGAAGGGCCCAATGAGATAACCAGGTTCATCCATCTAGTGTCTTTTGTACACACATTTAGTTCTTTTGGAGTATTTTTTGAAGTTATTTCAAATTGGTTAGCTGGGCTTTGAATGACTATAGAAAAGGGACCATGGGTTTATAGAAATGGACTAAGTATATAATCCATAAGTTAGAAATGCCTATTCACATACTCTTGGCATTACTGTCAACTCACCTTTATTCAGGGCTTTCATAAAGATATACTGTATAGAGGATGCTTACAAATGCTCTTAGTACCTACCACATTGTAAAAACATTTTTTAAAATTATACCTGCTTTTGGACAACAGCAATGCACTGAATTTAATTTGTACATAGAGAATGGACTCATAAAGAAGTTTATACTTTTTTTATAAAATTGTGTTTAACATTTATCATTATTAAATTTGCTCAATTTCTATGAAATTTAGTGGAATTTAAAGTCATTTACTTGGCCTTGCAGAGGTAGTATTAAGAGCTCCATAGATTAGAGAACGAGCTAACTCATTTTTCTCAAATACCTTCTCCATTCATACTCCAAATGATGGCATTATACCATAAATGTAAAGGAGTACAGCGTAAGTATGTAGGGATATACAAAAACATTTTGGGACTGAGTTGGACATGATACCATTGATATCACTTAAATGCAATCCTGTCACTTGCTAAGGAAGAAAAAATTAGGCATTCCTTTGAAGAAGTAATTTAGCCAATGCATAATTCTTCATTTTTTGGATTAGTTCAGGTTGGAATAAATGAAAGATTTGTTTTATAGGAAACCACATTTCTAAATGACCAGGGGAGAAAAATAACTGTCACATATCCATACTTCATTATTAACTAATCTATCAGTTTAATGTCTCACTTATTTTTTCTATTAATAGTATTAAAAATGCTTATCACTTGTTAATTCTGACAATGAGATGACAACTTATGCAATTTCTCTCATAAAGTTTCATTTTTCACCTCCATTCAAGTGGTTTATCTTCTGGCATCAGCAAAGACAAAAGAACCAACCTGGATTTGTATAGCGTTATATGTGAATGTGTGTGTATATTACACATCCAACCTTAAAAATGTCATTTAAAGTTCCATAGATTTATTATCTAAAGGGATATTTAATTAAGTTTAAAAGGAAGCATATGTTAGCTGAATCAACTTCAGGAGCTATTCCTTTGTATAAAGGGCTTTCACATGCCTTTCTCCTCAGTTCTGAAAGCACAAGGTTCCTTATTCCCTTCACCATGAATAAGGCCGATATTTGACAGCTTCACAAGGCTGACAGGGTTACCCAACAGCCCACCCTCCCTATTCTCAATCCAATTAGACCTCTAATCCTCCAGATGAAAGGCCCAACTGCTCACGTTCCTCATGACAACGACAGCTATTGATTATTTGTCACTGCAGCTAACACCTTCCCTGTCGAGGCTGCTCTGACAGAAGCAAACCTACCAAATTAGACAGCACTTTATCTGCCCTGGAGGCCAAATGGCACAACAAGTAAAGGCTAATAAATGGTATAAAAATGAACAAATCATAACATTATGACAGGCTGATCGTTGCCAGCAGCCTCCCAGCTCAAGCTTGATGTTCTGTTAGTCTGGCTCCTTCTCTTTCCCCTCTGCTCTAGCTCCAACTTTGACTGAATTAAAGGCCAGAACAATTAAGGCATTTGACCAGCAAAGATAAGCCAATTGAAGTATCACCAAGGGATAAAAATGTCAATAACTGACTGCCATTTGTCAATACAAACATTCTGGAGATGCAAATGCTCCAGCCTCTGCTCTCCACTAGGCTGCACTGACTCACTTTCCAGCAAGAGTCAGCTCAAATGGACAGTCTGTGGCTATTTAACCAGAAGAAAAAAAAAGAAAGAAAAGAGAAAGAAATATCTAGTTCCAAGAGAGGAAATATTCTATGAAGTACAAGCAGGAGTCGCTGGGGTGGGGAGGAAGGATTGTATAAGAAAAAGAAAGATAGCAAAACAGGATTATTCTTCCTTTAAAAATATTCTAATATTAGACAACTGGAATCTCATAGTATGTTTTTTGCCCACAATATATGCATCATGTAAGAAATCGTGGATCACCTGGGAGAATTATTAAAGCTATAACTTTAGAAGTACACTCATTCATTCAACAAATATTTTTTGAGCACCAACTACTAGTTCTAGGCAATGGGGATAAATTAGTGAATAAACAGACCAAAAATAAAACCCCAACTTCAGGGAGTTTATATTATAGTGGGGCAAAAGACAATAAGCAAGATAAATAAGTAAAATATATAGTATTTTAGATAGTGTTAAGTGCTAAGAAAAGACATAAAGCAGAGTAGGGAGAATACAATGTGTGAGGTGAGGTGGGTATTAGATAGGATTGCCAGAAAAGGGTTCACTGAGACAGTGACTTGAATAAGAAACTAATGAAAGCAAGGGAGTTCAACACAGAGATTCCTACTGGAACAGCATTCCTAGGAGAGGGAAGAACAAATGCAAAAACCTGTGGTGAGAGCTTGACTCACCTACTAGAGGAACAGCACTGAGGTCAGAGTGGTGTATGTGGAGGAAATATGTGGAAGATTAGAAATAAGGTCATACAAACAACAGAATTCAGAACATGAAATAAAAGGCTTGATAGATCACAGGAAATACTTAGTCTTTTACTCTGAGATGGAAAATCTTTTTTTTTTTTTGAGATAGAGTCTCCCTCTGCCACCCAGGCTGGAGTGCAGTGATCTTGGCTCACTGCAAACTCCAACTCCCAGGTTCAAGTGATTCTTGTACCCCAGCCTCTGGTGTAGCTGGGACTACAGGCACACACCACCGTATCTGGGTAAATTTTGTATTTTTAGTAGAGATGGGGTTTCGCCATGTTGGCCAGGCTGGTCTTGAACTCCTAACCTCAAGTGATCTGCCTGCCTTGGTTTCCCAAAGTGCTGGTGTAAGCCACTGCGCTCAACTGGAAAATCCTTTAAAGGGTCTGGAGCAGAGGACTGACATGCTTTGACTTAAGTTTTAAAGGATCATTCTGGTTGATATGTTGGGCATAGACTGCAGGGGGCAAGAGCAGAAACCAGGAGACCAGTTAGGACACTATTATAATTATCCAAGCAAGGTTACTACAATAATCTAACCCAACATGATGGTGGCTAGGACCAAAGTGGTG
Organism: Homo sapiens; assembly: GCF_000001405.40. Lineage (NCBI taxonomy): Eukaryota > Metazoa > Chordata > Mammalia > Primates > Hominidae > Homo > Homo sapiens. The sequence continues at coordinate 100,166,752 of NC_000009.12, read as the reverse complement.
GTAAAGGGAATGTTGAGAAAAGTGGTTGCATTCTGGATAAATCTAGGTTTGTAGATAAATCAACAAATCAAATTTGTTAATAGACACCAGTATCATACAGGTGAACAGGACTTTGTATAAAAATATTAATAGGTGCTCAGTGTGTGTTAGTTGAATTGAATTCTCTACCTGGCAGTTCTGCTAAAAATGCTACGCCTTGCAGCAAGGGATCTGTGGCTTCTTTTTTTTCTTAAACAAGGTCTCATTCTCTTGCCCAGGCTAGAGTACAGTGGTGGGAGCACGGCTCCCAGCAGCCCTGACCTCCCAGGCTCAAGTGGTCCTTCCACCTCAGCTTCTTGAGTAGCTGGGACAACAGGCATGTACCACCATGCCTGGCTAGTTTTTGTTTTGTTTTGTTGTTGTTGTTTGTAGAGATGGGGTCTTCCTATGTTGCCAGGGCTGGTCTTGAACTCCTGGGCTCAACCCCTCATCCTGCCTAGGCTTCCCAAAGGAGCTCTGGCTAAACACAAATTTTCTAAAGATGACTTTAAGCACAGACTTTAGAGTCAAACAGATACATATTTGAACCCTGGTTCTGCCATTTAATGATAAATTACTCAAGCTCTTGCATCTCAGGTTTTTCATCTAGACAATGTGATATTCTATCATTCTTGACTGGGTGAGCAAAAGGAGTAGAGATGTAAGAAGAGGTTAAGTTTAAAACCTTTTAGCCCAGAATTAGAATAGGAAGTGATGAAATATTTTTATTGCTTAAAAAAATCCGCAAGCTCTGTCCACTATAAAAGCCTAGAAACAATCACCAACCTGGTAGCAGTGAGCACCCTAGATCCTAGATTGTGTTCTCCAAATACTTTTTCCTACTAAAAGTAAAGCTATTGGAGAAATAGCTGATTCCAGGTCTAAAACAAAAAATATAGAAATGAATCTGGAATATTTGGACATAGCAGATAGCAAGTAAGCTATCAAATACTAGGCTCATGTCAAATGGATCAAGAAGTCTACTTGACAGGCCTCCCACAGGCCAAAAACAGAGTAATTTGAATACTAATTAAGGATAATAACTTCAATGGATTGATATAGTAAATATGTTAAAATGATACTAAAAAATTCTAGGCCTTGTTCATAATGATATTAAAAATGAAAAAAAATTAATTGATTATCCTAGGAGGATGCCAGGAAACCAATTCATTATTTTAAAAATTGGTAAATAAAGAGGGAGAATCAAGCATTCATCCTTCCTTTCCTATATGAACTGTACCATTGAGTAATCTAATAGTAGATATGGGGAAGTTTCTCTTTAATGAATTATTCCAGCTAATAACTGTAGGATAGATGGTAGAATTAAAGTATCAGCATTTTGCAACTCCTAATGAACAATGGGCTCTAGGCACTGAGCACCACTAATTGTTAACATCATAAAAACAGACACAGTGAAACATTATGTCCCTCCTAAGAATGAATGTACCATAATAATAAAACAGTTTGCCAAAAATTGAACAGTAATTCTAACAAAAAATGATAAATGCTTGAGGTGATAAATACCCCACTTACCCTGATATGACTATGACACATTGTATGCCTGTATCAAAACATTACATGTACCCCATAAATACATATACCTACTAAATACCCATAAAAATGAGAAATTTAAAAAAGAAAAAAAAAATTGAACAATAATCAGATCAAGTCTTTAGATCCAACAGCTAATTTACAGGAAATACATAGGACTGAGGAATAGGTTTATCACACCTGAAGGGAGAATCATCTTACTGAGGCAATCAGTCTAGACTAAGACATCAAGTTAGGGCAGGGGTTAAGCCACAATAGCCAAAAAGTTGTAAAAAAAAAAAAAAAAAGAAAAAGCCAAAAGAAACAAAGAGAGATGGAGGGTGAAACTATAGATTAAAAAAGACTTGACATATCAGCCAATCACAATATATAGCTCTTATTTGGAATCCAATTCAAACATGTGTAAATAAACAAAAACATTTATGACATTTATGAGACAATGGTAATTGGAACATCAATTGGCCATTTTATGATACTATGATATTAAGTGATTCTTGTTACATTTTTTGAAAAGTACTATCATGATTACATTTTAAAAGGTCATTTCCTCTTAGAAATACATATTGATATAATGATATCCCTGCAATATCTGAGATTTGCTTTAACATGGGAAGAGGAGAAGTTAATGAAGGAATACAGGAAATAAGATTAGCATGACCTGGTAATTACTGAAGCTGAGTGATGATACATGGAGGGTCATTTTACTATTCTATTTTTGAATATGTTTGAAGTTCTCCTTAAGAAAACATTTTAAAAAATGAGGCTTAAAAAAAAAACTTAGTGTCAAAGTCATTGACTCTTCCTTTCACATCTATAATTTGCAGAAAATTCAAGATATATTTAATATTGGCTACAACACGGTGACTAGAGTTAATAACAATGTATTATGTGCTTGAAAATTGCTAAGAGAGTAGATTTTAAGTGTTGACACCATGTATAAATATGAGGTAGTTATATATAATTAACATATGTACTACCTCATAATTAATTTAGTCAATCCAGAATGTATACACATTTCAAAACATCATGTTGTACACATAAATATATACAATTTTTGTCAATTAAAATAAACAAATTAGAAAAAAATAAAATTGGACTTCTAACCACCTCTGCCACTACCATTCTGGTCCAAGCCAACATCAACTCTCAGCTTCCTAATTAGTCTCTCTTCTGCTTTCATCCTTTGACAGTCCATCCTCAACACAGCAGTTAGAATGAACCTTTCAAAATATAAGCTAGATCATATTTTCTGTGCTCAAACACTTCAATAACCATACCCTCTTGTGCAGCGTAAAAGTAGAATCATTAAATAGCATACAGGCCTTCTGTGATCTCTGAACTCATCCTTACTTGACTAGAGCCACAGTGGCCTCCTTGCTAACTGTTTCTTGTAAATACAAAGCACGTGCCCATTTCTGGACCTTGCACTTGGCATATTCTCTCCCAGAAAGGTTTGTTCCTTCATAATCTTTAAGTATTTGCTTAAATATTACTTTCTTAAGTGAGGTCTACCCTGATCACCCTATTTATATTTGCAAATCCCTACACTCCCTATCACCCTCACCTGTCTTATTTTTTTTCCATAGCATGTATCCCCATCTGATATAATATATACTTTAAAAATGTATTCGCTTGTTTATTGGTTTGTTTCCCACCAACAAAATGTAAGATCTTTGAAGTCAGGGATTTTTGTTTTGTTTTGTTCACTGCTATATCCCACATATATAGAGCAGTACCTTATGATTAGTAGGTGCTCAATAAATATCTTGTTATTAAATGAATTCTTTCAATTTTCAGATCATTGCTTTTTAAATTCTGAATTCAGAGACTAGATGATTGCTTTTTATCACTACACTTCTCAGTTAAGTTTGTGGGGTAACAACATGTGAGGTGGTGCCCGCGTTTGTTACTGGAACAGCTAAGTGATTTGACTGTTTCCTCATTTGGGAGCATTTGGGAGGAAATATGCACATTTGCTAAAAAAAAAAAAAAAAAAATAGAAAGAACATCAAGTTAGGGTAAAAGTTAGGGTCACCCCAGTGGCAAGAAAGAGTCTGTAGAGCTGGTTTTCTTGTAGCCTAGAGCTAAAGGGCAATGCCACTAGATGGAATTCCATGAAGGTGACCTACAGCCTATGGCCATTGCTTTTGAAAGTAGTTAGGTTCACAAGGCTCTGTAAGTGTCCAACAGACATTGTGGCTGACACCATGGATTGCCTGGCTAATATATATGCCCATCCTCTTCTAGGCTTTTAGGCCAACAGAACCCTGATATTGGTTGGTCTCCTTTTAAGTAGATATGTCCTTCAGAGAAGGCTGGGTCCTTGCCAAACTCAGAAGGTGACTTTTTTTTTTTTTGAGATGGAGTCTTGCTCTGTCACCCAGGCTGGAGTGCAGTGGCATGATCTCGGCTCACTGCAACCTCCGCCTCCCAGGTTCAAGCAATTCTCTGCCTCAGCCTCCTGAGTAGCTGGGATTACTGGTGCCCGCCAAGGTGACTTTGAATGACATAGCAATCAGGAAGTTTTCATTTTCCTTGCCAAGGGATAGGATTAGGCCTGGGAATCAAAGGAATGGAAAGAGCATCTGCCACAGGGCTTCTGAGAAGATTTTCCATGTTGAAAAGATAAACAAGATACGGGTATTTGATTTTTCTGCTTCTAGATATTGTGGTCTATATGCAATGCCTGAAATTTAGGCAGCCACCTTGAAATTAACTCCAAGGAAAGCTAGCTTAAGAGTATAAGCCAACATCCTGATTACAGCGGAGAATAAAGATTTAAAAACCCAGGTCCTTGCTAATATCATTGAGCCACTGAGTTAATCAACCCTGGATATTACCTCTTGTTATGTAAGACTGCTTGATGTGTAAAATAATAGATGTGCTTGTCATCTAAGCCACTTTTATGTTATTCGTATTAACAGAAAATGTGTATTAATGATACAAATTTCCATGATGGACCCAAATGACTATAGAGCCACCCAAGCAAATATGAAATATTTCAGGAAAGGAAATCAGTTAGAGCATAGACTGCATTTCTGAACTCTAGTTGATTGTGCTACCAGCCCGTTACTTATTATTATACCATTTAGTCTATTATTTCCGGCTCCTTTTTGTGGCCTACATGGTGCTTCATGTCAGTTCCCAGCCTTTTCTTCCAGGCTCTATCTTCTGTGTGAGATGCTCCTTGCAGGAAGTCTAACTGTTTATTACTCTGGAGGTTTTAGTTTGAAGTTTTTTTAGTTGACAAACAATGAATGGGATTGATAATTATCTTCTGGGGTCCTTGTGACCTTCCAATTTTCCCAGTTGAAGTTCTCTATCTGTAGGGTATGCTCTCCTTCCTTCAGTTTTGGGGCTTACCTTGACTCTAATCAAGGCAAGATTTAAGTCTAACTCATTAGTGAGATTAGCAAGAGTTAAATCAACCTAAGCGAAGCCTGACCAGATAATGTAATTCAGTTTTCTGTCTTGCTCCTGCAATCCAATCCTAACCTTCTGCCCCAAGGTCTAGAAAATTGATGTTCATCCACCCACCCATCCATCCATCCATCCATCCATCCATCCATCTGGCCAGCCACTCAACAGCATTATGGTCTTAGTCACTGGGGCTCCAATTATGTTCTTTGTAAACTAACTTCAAAACCTTCCTAACACCCAAATTTCCTCAATTTCCTACCTTTCGTGAGTTCTCCTAAGGAACGAATTATAAGGCCCACTTCTGGCAGACTGACAAAATTAAAGTAGATCATATTCAAATTCTTTTGGAGCACAACACTCAATTTATGAGGTTTTTTTTTTTTTTTTTTTTTTTTTTTTGAGATGGAAGTCTTGCTCTGTCGTCCAGGCTGGGCTGGAGTGCAGTGGTGCGATCTCGTCTCCTGAGTTTAAGCGATTATCTTGCCTCAGTCTCCCGAATAGCTGGGATTACAGGTGCCCACCACCACACCCAGCTAATTTTTGTATTTTTGGTACAGATAGAGTTTCACCATGTTGGCCAGACTGGTCTGAAACTCCTTATTGCAGGTGATCCCCCCAACTCGGCCTCCCAAAGTGCTGGGATTACAGGCGTGCTGGGATTACACCATGCCCAGCCAATTTATGAAATTTTTGTCATAAGAAGACAACTGCCTAGACTAAATGGTAGTAAAGGGAATGGGAAGAAAACAATAAATGTGGGATGATTGACAAACAAGATCAACAGAGCTTTTTTTTTTTTTTTTTTTTTTGAGACAGAGTCTCACTCTGTCACCCAGGCTGGAGTGTAGTGGTGTGATCTCAGCTCACTGCAACCTCCGCCTCCCGGGTTCAAGTGAGTCTCCTGCCTCAGCCTCCTGAGTAGCTGGGGTTACAGGTGCCCACCACCATGCCCGGCTAACTTTGATCAGCCTTTGATGTGTCTTGGGACTGAGGAAGACAGAAGGAGTCAAAGATTAGGGTAATATTTTGAGCCCAAATTACTGAGGAATAATACTTTTCTTCGTAACAACGGGGAAATTAACAAAGGAAGCTATGTTTTAGGTTACAGTGGGATATTTAAATGTAAATTATGGAGGGAGATAACTGAACTAAATTTAGGAAAGAGAACACAACTATAAATTCAGACTTGCAAGTCAGCCTTATGGAAGTGAAGTAGAACAACTGAGTTATGAGGAGAATGTATAAATGCAGGAAGGGACTCTATTGACTAATAAATGTGTTTCATAATCTGCACATAAATGATGAGACTAAAAAGGTAATCTGCTATGCTGTTTGGGAAGACAGTCAATTAGACATCCAGGATTTCTTGTTATTATATATCACTCTGTATTCAAAATATAGATGCATTCCATTTGAACCCTGAGGGCTACCTCATAGGGTTGTACGAGGTGTACAAATGGTGCAATGCATAACCTCTGTAGTTATCTAGCAGTCCTGTCTCAGCGGCTGACTGTGCTAAATGGTGAGCTCTTTAAAACCAATGAAGAATGTCTTCCTCACCACAAGAATCCTCCATGCGTAGAGAGTGGAACAGAATATGCCCTCAGAATATGCTTGCTGAATGAGCTCCCAGAAGGGCATTGTTTCAAGGTTCTCTTCATAGTCTTCATTTGGAAGTAGAAAGGCTTCATAAGATACATCAGAGCAAAGCCTGATGCTGCTCTGTTCATAATTTTACAGCAATCATTTGTACTTCCAGAGGCTACCCTGGTTAGAAATCATGAAGTGGGTTCTTCCCACAATACTGAGGACACATAGTTTGGGGAGATGGTCCAGGGCAGCATTTTCATTACGGTCAAGTGTGATGACAACTTCCTAGAACATCCATTCTGACAACAGCAGAATCATCAGAGTCGATTCATTAGAAGGGGATTTTGATGAATAAACCTTTAGCTACACTTTCTGAGAAGTCTCCAGAGTTATGAGGCAAAAAAATTAATTCCAACTACTCAAGCAGAGACACCTGGTAATTTCATAGTTATTAGTATAACTCAGATATAACATTTTAATAGGAGGCATCCTCAGTGATGAAGATATTTTAAATTAGTAGAAGAGAGGTGCTACAAACACCAGAGAAAACTGCCTTCTATTATAGTTTAGTCTGTATTTTTTATGTATTTGTGTTAGTGTGTTCTAGCAAATAGGAGGTAATTGGTTATGGAATTCCTATCTATAATAAAGCAATGTTCCAGGAATAGCTTTGTGTCTACCTGGTGTTATTAGTCTAAAGATTAAAAATGCTGGATATAATTTTCTCTGAAAAAAGTAAAAAACCTATTAACATAAAAAGATGTAGCTAGTAGAGCCACTCAGAGCCATTGACTATCTGTATGTCATTTACTTGGTTATCTCTGCAGAATATACTATTTATCTCCAAGCCTTTGAAAATTAATTCTGATTTTTCAATATCTAGTTCAAATTCTCTCTCCTTCATGAAACCTTCCCTAAAACTTCTCATTGAATATTCCCTTCCTCTATCTTTCCATACCATTTTGTTTGTATTCTTCTCTAGCACATATGCATTCTACCTTATACTTGAATTCTTTGTAGATTGTCTTAGTCCATTTGTATTTTTATAAAGGAATACCGGAGGCTGGGCAATTTATTTAAAAAACAGGTTTATTTGGCTTATGGTTCTGCAGGCTCTACTAAATGCATGGTGCCAGTATCTGCTTCTAATAAGGACCTCAGGAAGCTTCTAATCATGGGGGATGGTGAAGGAGCAGCAGCTATGTCACATGGTAGACAGCAGGCAAGAGAGAGAGAGGGAGAGAGAGAACGGGGAAGGATGCCAGGCTCTTCTAAACAACCAGCTATCACATGAACTAATAGAGCGAGAATTCACTCATTACCTCTGGCACCAAGCCATTCATGAGAGATCTGCTCCCATGACCCAAACACCTCCCATTAGGCCCCTCTTCCAACCACTGGGGATCAAATTTCAACGCGGGATTTGGAGGGGACAAATATTCAAACTATAGCATAAATACAGCTCATCTACTCCATCAGAGTTAACTTTGCTCACCTTTGTATTCCCCAAAGTATTTAGTCCAGAGCATGGACTAGATGATAATTATAATAGTTAATATTCACTGGGCACTATTTTGGTGCCAGGAACTGAGCTAAGTAAGAAGTTTGTGGGCACCAGTTCATTTCATTCTCATAGGAATGTGGTAATATAGGTATCATTATTATTCTCATTTTCAGATGAGGAAACTCAGAATTAAAGAGATAAATGTCACAGAGCTAATAAATAAATGAGCAGGGACTAGAATCAATATAGGTCCAACTCCAAGAACAATTCTCTACTCTTTATTCAATATACTTAGAGAATTGAAGTGTAATAAGAACTCTGTCATTGAAAGTTATAAATGAAAATATATTTTTTTCTGGAGTGCTAAAGCTTTTTGCATTACCAATCAAATCAATATTTTAAGAATGGAATGTAATATTTATGCTACAGAAAAGAGATAATAGAATTCCCCTGATCAGCTAAAATATATCCTATGAGGTCTTCACTAAACATGAGAATATAAACAAGATAGATCTACTAAGAGGAAAGAAAAACTATCATTCTTTACAAATAGGAAACTTCCCAAATAAAAGCAATACAGATGGCAGAATAATAAAAACTGGAATGAAAAATTGGATATGCTATGCCCTTATTGAGTGACAAATGTTCTGTGATATACACCACATTAAGAAATACTAAGAGATATGAAAATAAATTTAACAAATGGGTGGTGAGAACAAGTAAGCTTCTTCTGCATTAGAAACATTTAAAAGGAGACCATAAAAGTGTCAGAAAAGGTAGCATTTTGTTGTAGGAGATAATGAAAAATGATTTGGGAAATGAAGGAAAACAGGATTTAGTCTCCTCTTTGAAGCCAAAGATCTGAAACTCAGTTAAATTTCAAAGAAAATAAAACATGTAAGGAACTGCAGGAATTGCAAGGAATTGTCACCATTGAAGGGTGGCAGGAAAGTCTGGCTCAAAATAAAATTTAGAATTTTTAAAAAGTCTGTTTTTGAACTTTTTTCAGACTAAAATAATGCATGCCTCTTGTGAAAATGTTTTCCTATAATTTAAACTATGAGTTTTCTCATAATACCACTATAAGACATTTCTGCTATTTCTTGGCCGGGCACGGTGGCTCACGCTGTAATCCCAGCACTTTGGGAGGCCGAGGCGGGCGGATCACGAGGCCAGGAGATCGAGACCATCCTGGCTAACACGGTGAAACCCCGTCTCTACTAAAAATACAAAAAAAATTAGCCAGGCGTGGTGGCAGGCGCCTGTAGTCCCAGCTACTTGGGAGGCTGAGGCAGGAGAATGGCGTGAACCCAGGAGGCGGAGCTTGCAGTGAGCCGAGATTGTGCCACTGCACTCCAGCCTGGGCAACAGTGTGAGACTCTGCCTCAAAAAAAAAAAAAAAGAAAAAAAAGAAATTTTTACTATTTCTTTAAATTTTTGCAATCTATATGATACATATGTATAACTGTGGTTATTTTAAAAATTATTTATTTATAAAAACAGGTTTCTACTATACATATTCTTCTGCAGCTAGCTTTTTTTTCAGTTAACAGTATACCCTGGAGATCTTTCCATGATAGTACATATAGATTAATTTTTTAAAGTGGCTAAAAAGTATTCCACTGTATGAAAAATAGATTATATTTAACAATGAATAATTTACCTGTATTTTGCCATTATAAACAATGATGAATGAATATCCCTATATATATATGTGTGTGTGTGTATATATATATATGTATATATACATATATATTAGTTTGAGTGGTTTATAAGGTCCATTTCTAGTCACAGAATCTAGAGTCAAGGAACATGTAAACTTTTACTGCTTTTTTCTTCCTTTTTTATCTGGTTTAAAAATCTTAATACTATCTGAAGCACAAGAGCATATATTAGAAGAAAAAGAGGCAACAAGGAAACATACATATATGAAACATATGAAGGGTAAACCAGAAATCAATATAGTTGATTGTCCTCAAAAGACAGGGAAAATGAGACAGACAGGACATGGAAGTGACTGAAACTTGTAAACCTATCTTTTCATGTAGTTTCAACTTTTGAAAAAGTTAAATCAATAAGGATGGGAAGGAGGGGAAGTTAAACTGAAACACATAAAAACAACTGTATTTTAAATACACTAGCACCTTGGGAGGCTGAGGCAGGCAGATCATTTGAGGTCAGGAATTAGAGACCACTTTGGGCAACATGGCAAAACCCCATCTCTACCAAAAATACAAAAAAAATAGCCAGGTGCAGTGACTCATGCTTTTAAACCCAGCTACTTGGGAGGCTTAGGCTGGAGAATTGCTTGAACCCAGGAGACAGAGGTAGCAGTGAGCCGAGACCGCACCACTGCACTCCAGACTGAGAGACAGAGTGAGACCCTGTCTCAAAAAAAAAAAAAAAAAAAAAGTATTCCTAACTCATGGAGTTTTAACATGTTTGTTTCCATTGAAGCAACTGTATTTTTGCTACTCAAATTGTCCATCTTTGGAAGCTCCTTTAACACGGCTTCTGTGGCCCTTTGACATGACTCCAGTAGGCTTTGTTAGATATCTTGCCATCCAGCATGACCAGATGAGCCAGGCTCATTTCATATATTACTTGTCCCAATTTCTAAGCAGCCACTTCTCTAAGGAGTTCTGATTCCTTTTAGTGGTATTGAGAGACACAATCTGGGTGATGGAGGTGATCCTTCATGGGGTTAGTCATTACTTCTAGGCTTTTTCAGTAGCTAGTGCTATGAAATTCAGAAATATAAATTTTTAGCAGACACATATATCAATAGTTTATATTTGTATACTTCTTATTGAAAATCTTGGTTACTAATGAAATTGACATATTCACTTGCTTCATCTTACCTTTATATAGTGATCCACTTATTTGTGTTGTGTCAAGATAACAGTAACAGTATTATTACTAACAGTATGTTTACTGAACACATTTTAGGATTTCTTTGTAGCTGTCTTTGTCCTTAGGATGTTTCCTACCAGGACTGCAGAGTCAAATTTACTATGTTTTAAAGTCACTTGGGCTGGGCCCAGTGGCTGACGCCTATAATCCCAGCACTTTGGGAGGCCAAGGTGGGTGGATCACTTGAGGTCAGGAGTTTGAGACCAGCCTGGCCAACATGGTAAAACCCCATCTCTACTAAAAATACAAAAAATTAGCTGGGCATGGTGGTGCGTGCCTGTAATCCCAGCTACTAGGGAGGTGCAGGCAGGAGAATCACTTGATCCTGGGAGGTGGAGGATGCAGTGAGCCAAGATTGTACCACTACACTCCACCCTGGGTGAAAGAGCGAGACTCCATCTCAAAATATAAAAAATAAAAATAAAAAATAATAAATTCACTTGAATAATTCTCTCTGCAGTTAAGCTACCAACTTAATACACAGGTGTCTTTGTTTTATTTGTCTATCAATCTTTAAGGACTGCTCATTTTCTTTTTTTTTTTTTTGAGATGGAGTCTCACTCTGTTGCCCAGGCTGGAGTGCAATGGCACTATCTCGGCTCTCTGCAACCTCTGCCTCCCGGGTTCAAGCAATTCTTGTGCCTCAGCCTCCCGAGTAGCTAGGATTACTGTGCCACCAGGCCTGGCTGCTAATTTTTGTATTTTTAGTAGAGATGGGGTTTCACCATGTTGGCCAGGCTGGTCTTGAACTCCTGACCTCAAGTGATCCGCCCACCTTGACCTCCCAAAGTGCTGGGATTACAGGCGTGAGCCACTGCATCCAGGCTGTAGACACTTAAACTTTATAATTATGGAAATAATTTACGAAGTTCCAAAATCAAAACTATAGAACAAGATATACTCAGATAAGACTAGCTTCGATCCCTGTGTCCTCTACATTATCTCCTTCTCCCTTTAGGTAAGAGTCTTCATTCATTTTTCATTTACTCTTCTATCTTTTAAAAATATAAGAAAATATTTTTCTCCTCTTTCCTGGAAAAAAGGTTACACATGCTCTTTAGCACCTTACTTTTTTCTCTTAACAATAAACCTGGAGGTCACTTCATAGTTATATATAAAATAGAGAATATCATACACAATATTCTGCGCTTGCTTTTTTCATTCCAGATCATTTTATAATGTTATATAAAAACATTTCTCATTACTTCTTACAGATGCATAGCATTCCATTGTGTGAATATACTCTTTTTATGTAGCCAGCTCTCTAAAAGTACATTTGCAGGCAGGGCACGGTGGACACACCTGTAATCCCAGCACTTTGGGAGGCTGAAGAGGGCAGATGGCTTGAGCCCAAGTTTGAGACTAGTGTGGGCAACTTGGTGAAAACCCATCTCTACAAAAAAAAAAAAAAAAAAAAAAAAAAAATTAGTCGGTTGTGGTGGCACACACCTATAATCCCAGCTACTCAGGAGCCTAAGGTGGGATGATTCACTAAGCCCAAAAATGTCGAGATTGCAGTGAGCCATGATTGTGCCACTGCACTCCAGTCTGGGTAACAGAGTGAGATCCTGTCTCAAAAACAAAAACAACAAAAAAAGTGCATTTGCTTTCAAGCTTTCTCTACTACAAATAATGCTGCAATTAAATAACCCTGTGTATACATTTCTTGTTTTTACCACATATGTATAGAATAGATTCCCAGAAGTGACAGATCAAAGGTAAATGCATATTCTGGTTAATTTTGCTGGATATTGTTATGTTTCCCTCCATAAGCGTTATACCAATGCTATGGTTTGAATGTCCCTCCAAAATTCATGTTGAAATTTAATCATCGTTATGACAGTATCGAGGTGGGATCCCTAACAGGTGATTAGGCCATTGGGGCTCTGCCCTTATGAATGGATTACTGCTGTTTTCATGGGAGTAGGTTCCTGATATAAGTGAGTTTGGTCCCCCTTTTCCCTCACTTGTTCTTGCCCTCTTTTGTCCTTCTGCTTTCCACTGTGGAATGACACAGCTTGAAGTCCCTCAGCAGATGCTGATAACTTGATATTGGACTTCCCAGTCTCCAGAATTGGGAGAAATAAATTTCCTTCCTTATAAATTACCCAGTCTGTGGTATTCTGTTATTGCAACACAAAACAGGCTAAGGAAACCATTTCCATTTCCTTCAGGGATATGTGAATGCTCATTTCCCTACAGTTTTGCCATCAGAACATGTTGTCAAACTTTTGGAGTTTTGCCAATCTGAGACATGAAGCATGTTATCTCTTTGTGATTTTAATTTGTATTTCTTTTATGACGAACAATATTGAGCATATTTTCATATATTGAAGGGCCATTTCCTTTTCTGTGAACTATCTAGATATACTCTTACTCATTTTTATAGGATCATTGGTCTTTTTCTTCTCCACCTTATATATGAGGAGTATTAAACCTTTGATAATGATATAATTTGCAAATATTGTTTCCAATTTGTCTTTTTTTTTTTTTAACTTTGCTTGCCACATTTTCTGGAAGGAAAAAGTCTTTCTTATCACTATGTAGCCATATTTATTAGTCTTTTTCCTATCACTTCTATATTTTGACTTGCAGATAGAAAGTTTTCCTTACACCGAGATTCTTCACTGCAAACCTTCTTGGTATGTTTAACATTTTACAATATGTGTAAGCATTATAATCCAATTAAATAACAATTTAAAGCATGCACCTGTGTGCACCTGTACACACACACACACACACACACACACAATTAGTTAACAATCTGTACAACACTGAAATAACCAAAGTTACATACATGAAGTTTACAGTCATTACTTCAAAGTACAGTCTAATATTTCAGCCCAAATTCCTTAAAAGAAAATGGCTTGAAAAGAGATGACTGACAAAGTGACAGGAAAGACTTGAATAAAAGGACCCAAACCATATCTTCTGAAATCTGTAATTGTTTAAGATAAACTATGAGTATATGTCTAATAAATTGCCTGAAAATGAGTAGTTATATTGGTGAAATGTTAATTTTACTATTATAAAATCTGAAAGACCACATATTTAGACAAAGGTTGAATTTAAAATACTTTGAGATATAGTGTAATGCCTGATACATATTAAATACTAAAAATTTATCTGTTGAACAAATGAATGAATGAATAAATGAATGACATACCCATCAGAATTGGAATGGTGAGCAAGTGGATTCTGATAGATTATACAAAATTTTTCAAGAGGCTGAGTTAATACTGACGACATAATTTAGACAAGTATAATAAATGAATAAAACAACTTTTTAAATTAGTGAAGTTTATTTTAGTACTAGTGTTTCAATGATTAAGGTTTTCTATAAGCAGTATCTATTTTAATATCAAAGATTAGGATGAGAATCTTGGTGACTCATAAGTGGGAGAGATGACAACTATACTGAATGGCCGACTCAAGAATCAAGAGGACCTGGGTAGGTTACATGATGAACCCAATTCAATTCAGCAAGCATTGATTGAGTGTCGTTAAGTACTACTAGATATTGGAAATAAGATGACTAAGACACTCTTACATATTAAGATGTTCATCATCTGTGGAGAAATAAAACATGTAAACAAATAAATATATTTCAGTGTAAAAGGTGGTATAACAGTGGTTGAGTACACAAGGTACTGGAGGAACAAAGGATACAATGGTCAATTTTACCTAAGTATGTCTGGGAAAGTTCAAAATATGGATACAATAAGATGCTGCCTTTGGGTCCAACAACCACGGCCATATTAATATAGGACGTAGTTTAGGCAGTTGTAAGTATAAAGCAGATTTAGAGTTTTTATTTGAAAAATCTTAAATATGAATCAGCTGTATTTTGTTGCTAAAATGTCAACAGTTATAGTCATGTAACACTCTGAGCTCATCAGACTGGCATTGTATTCTGTTGTAGGTATCACATTTTCAAGGGAATTTAGACAAATATGTGCATATCTGGTGAAAATGATCAGGATGAGAAGGAAACTTGAAAGCATATTATATGAGGAATGGGTGAAGGAATAGATAGTACTAAAACTGGAGGAAAATGTCTTCACTTGGCCAGAATGATTCTTTTATAAATACATAAGTCAGACCATGTCACGTCTTTCCTCAAACCCTCCTCATCTCATTCAGAGTGAAAACATATTCTTGACAATGGCCTATAAGGCCCTACAGGATCAGGCCACCATTCTTTCTCTTTCTTCATCTCTTAGCGCTTTCCTTTTGCTCATTCATTATAAGGTATATATATATTTATTATTATTTTTTTAGACAGGGTCTCACTCTGTTGTCCAGGCTGGAATGCAGTGGTGTGATTATGGCTTACTGCAGCCTCAACCTCCTGGACTCAAGTGATACTCCCATCTCAGCCTCCTGAGTGGCTAGGACCACAGGCATGCACCACCATGCCTGGCGAATTTTTAAAAATTTTTTTGTAGAGATGGAGTCTCCCTATGTTGACCAGGCTGGTCTCAAACTCTTGGGCTCAAGTGACCCTCCCGCCTTGGTCTCCCAAAGTGCTGGGATTAAAGGCATGAAGACTAATTTATACTAATTTTCTTGTTATTTTGCAAAAATTCTAGGCATGCTCCCATCTGAAGGCCTTTGTTCTGACTGTTTCTTCTGCCTGGAATGAATGCTCTTCCCTCAGGTGTTCACATGGCTAAAGTTCTCACCTCCTTTAAGTCTTGCTTCACATGTCACCATCTCACTGAATACTATTTTGATTGCTTAATTTAAAATTACAACCTGTCTCACTGAATACTATTTTGATTGCTTAATTTAAAATTACAACCTGTCCTCCCCAGCCATCCCCTCTCTGGTTCTCTTAATCCCCCTCACTTTGGCATTTTAGTTATCATCTGTTGTCACATTTGTAAATGATCATTTGCACCTTGTGAAAGCTTAACAGCTAAAGGAGGTACAAAGAGACCTCCTTTATTGGTCCTATGATTGGTCATAGGAAAAATGTCGTGCCCAAGTGTTGACAATATTCACACTATAGGAATAATAATCATCCTGATTCCCTCTCATCCTTTTATGAGTCATAAACTATGGGTAGGAGAAAAAACAAGAAGAGGAAATTACATAAACAAATAATGGCCCTATGACATAAGGTAATTAGAAAATTAATGCTCAAATTTTCTTTAGAATTGATGTTATATACAAAATTAATTTTTAAACGGTTAAATGAAAGTAAATGGATTTGAAGTCCCTTTTTACCAGCCATAAAAATATTTGCTGGCCCTGTGCCCAGAGTTTAAAAGAAACCAGCATGAGTCTAATGAAAAACAAGCTGTAGGTTTCATCGAAATTCAATATATACTCTTTCTTTTCCTTTTAGTTTTTGATTGGTTTCCATGGGAATCTAGGCTTGTGAGATCTCTGATCTATTCATGGAAAGCAGATGCTTGTATTTTCATGACTTGGTAAAAATGGGAGTCAGAGAAGAGATGAAGATGATTAGAAAATGAAGATGATTGTAGGAAACATAATCATATTTAAAACAAAATTCCACAGCCATGTAGATTTTAAAACAAAATCTTCAAGGCTGCTCTACTATGTTTGAGAGGTATGATAAAGAAAAAACAGTGTATTTAAAGAAAGAAGCTTTGGGTTCAAATCCTGAATCTGACCTATGAGAAAGAAACCCTTCAGTACTTCTTTGGAGGTTTGACAGGAAAACTGGATCTGGGAATTACTCAAGGCCAGAAGAACAAGAAGTCTGAGAAAGTAAGCTTTAGGAAAGTATGTAAATTTTCTCCCAGTGCAGCAGTATCAGGAACACTAAGATGAGAATCAGCAAATCAGGATAATTTGTCACTCTGCAAGTGACAAGGTGACCTTGAAGAACTTTTTCAAATTATAGTTCAGTTTATGTATACAGAAAACACATAATATACAACTATTCCAACTGCTATGAAGCTACTATGAAGCTAAATGAAGTTTTTTTTCATACTAGAAACATGATAGAAAAATTCAAAGTGGCGATTTCAATCAAGATGTGTTGACATGTTATTCCTAGTGACTATACATTTTACCCATGTAAATAGAAGTACATAAACTATAATCAAAGTGTTAAAGGACAGACAGGTTTTTATTTCAACTCGTTTTGATTGGAATACTAATTTGAAAGTAACTAATAAGATCCTAAATATCTGAAAGCACCTTCTAAACTGGAAAATGAGAGGATAGGTTTAGAGATAGTTTCTACATATGGAAGAACACAAACAATGCTGGTTTAAAAACTCCAGAAGTTGGAATAAAATGAAGCAAGACTCTTTAGGACTTTCTCACTGCTTGGAGAAAGTAGCCTAGCTAGCATTGAAGTCAACTGCAAGAGCTGCCTAACATCACCATCTCAATCCAGAGGTTTCTTAAGATTCTAGGACATAAGAGTTTCAAATACTAAGATTTCCCTACATTTCTAAGTAATGTGGGCATCACAAATGTCTTTTGGTGCCTTCTTTTGGAAGCATACCAACAGTCAAAAACTCATAAACTATCACTACTTGCTTACTCTTCAGATACCCATTCGCTACATAGCTTGTGGTAGAATGGGCACTTATTAAATTGTTTTAAAATGGACTAATGAGTGGATACAGCCACAGAGATGCCTAGTAGTATCCACTGAAAATGTTTAACTAACTAAAGCAAAAGGTATGAGTAATGGCACAAAACCCATTTTTTTTTTTTTTGCTACAGTGAACATGTCTTACCTATATAACAAAAAGAGTTGAAGAAAAACAATGACAATATTTGATACATGGCAGTCTGTTACCTTCAGACAAGATTATGGGAGTTCTACTGTCACTTTAACAATATTAGTTCATTTACATAACACAGTCAAATCCCAGATCTAAAGTTGTTTTCATACATATGTTGCACCATGTAAGTCACTAAGATAAAAAATGACTTTTCTTGACATGGATGGAATGTACATGTGTTGGTTTTATAGAAAGACTGAAGTAGAGGTCGAGAATATATAAAGAATGGATGTGATTTACAATATATATTCTTCATTTAAAATGTTTTTGTAGCTTTAAATAACAGCTTTAATTAAAATCTTTTCATTTTAATGTGTTAAACATAAAATCTAATTCTTCTACTGCCTCTTCTCCTGTGCTAATATTTTACTTATGCTTCAGCTGTTTAAATGTTGCTGCACAGTTTAATTACTTTTCTTTGCACTAGAGTAATTTGTCTGGTGCTTGTTGCCTATGGCATTATATCCTTTGTAAACTTGAAGTTACCTTATGTCTATCTCTTTCCCTTGGAATTTTCTGCCATTTCCCAGTCTTGCTCAAACATGTCTATTTCTATTAACCTTTTTGCTGCCATCATTTTTAAAATAATTTACTTTTACCTTAAAATTTTTGCATAAAATGCATTCAGATGGTTCAAAAAATAATATAAAGAGGTACATAATAAAAGCTTTCTCCTACTTCTGCTCTAGTCTGCATCATTCCTTCCTCTACCCTCACTCTGGATAAATTATTTTATTAGTTTCTTATATGTCTTTAGAAAGTTTTTATATTCTTAACCTTTTTGGTTTTTTATTTCTGTTTTTTTTAGAGACACGGTCTCACTCTGTTGTCCAGGCTAGAGGGTAGTGGCACAATCATAGCTCACTACAGCCTCAAACTCCTGGACTTAACCTCCTGAGAAGCTGGGATTACAGGTGCACGTTGCCATGGCCGGCTAAATTTTTTTTTTTTTTTTTTTTTGTAGAGACAGGGTCTTGCTTTGTTGCCCAGACTGGTCTCAAACTTCTGGCTTCAAGCAATCCCCCTGTTTTGGCCTCCCAAATTACTGGGATTACAGGTGTAAGCCATGACACCTGGCCTTGTTTATTTTTTAAATTTTCTTAGCAATTTATAGTCTTAATTTTACATACTCTTATTTTTAACCCATCTCTTATTCACTTAACAATACATCTTGAAGGTATTTTCATTTTAATAGACACCATCGTCATTCTTTTCACAGTTCCCTAGTTTTCCATTGTATAAATGTACCATATTTTTTAAACCAGATTCCTTTTGATGGGCATTTGGGTTGCTTCCAACCTTGTTTTTGTAAATATTGCTGCCATAAAAAACCTTCTATATATATCATTTTTCACTTGTGCAGGCTTATTTTTAGGATAAATTACCAGAAATGGAATTGCCTGGTCAAAGGGTATATGCATTTGCAATTTAGATAACTATCCCAGGAGCAGAGTATGAAAAAACTTATTTATCCACAGCCTCACCAACACAATGAGGCAATAGGTGAGAAAAAATATTTTAGCACAGTTTTAATCTGCATGACTTTTATACGTATATTTGAACATATTTTCATATGCTTGAGGGTCATTTGAATTTCTTTTAATGTAAACTGACTGCTGATTTTTCTCTAGGTTGCTTACCAATTCCAAGGAGCAATTCATATTTGCCCTCTGTTGTAAGTGAAGATGTATTTCCCAGGTTGTCTTTGACTTTATGTTTGTGGTTCAAGAAAGTCATTTTACAGAAGACTGAGTATGTAGAGGGCCTATAGAGGTCTACAGAAGACTAAGCATATAAAACTAAGCATATAGTTGTGTTTTGCCCAATGTTATACAGTTTGTGGCAGAGTTAAGTCTATAATTGAATTAACATGTGATTAGACAGAAGAGGTAAAGGGGAAAGAAGAGAATGATAACAATTCAACACATTAATTTAATAAATCCATTCAACCAACATATATTTAGCACCTACTACATGCCATGCAGTTTTTAAACTCCAGTGACTAAAAGAATACAGTACCATAAGTTGATGAAGGACAATCAAATGAAGGAATTGAAAACAGGTACTCAAACAAGTATATGTACACCTACGTTGACGGAAGCACTATTCACAATAGTGGAAACAGCACTTGGATGAAGGAATAAATAAATTGCGGTATATACACACAACAGAAAATATTATTCATCCATATGTTAGCTATATATTGTCAACTAGAAGCTTATTCTAATATACTACCTCTGTTATTTTCTCTTTCCTTTCTAAATCACTTAATTTCACCTAACAAACTGTCTTTTAAACTCTAGACTCATTTAAAAAATTTAATAATTAAATATAGTGTCACTGGTTTTATAAAAGAAAATATTATTCAACCATAAAAATGAATGAAGTACTGATACATGTGACAGCTTGGATGAACCTCAAAAACATTATCCTAAGTGAAAAAAAGCCAGACACAAAGTGTCAGGCCTCTGAGCCCAAGCTAAGCCATCATATCTCCTGTGACCTGCACGTACACATCCAGATGGCTGGTTCCTGCCTTAACTGATGACATTCCACCACAAAAGAAATGAAAATGGCCTGTTCTTGCCTTAACTGATGACATTATCTTGTGAAATTCCTTCTCCTGGCTCATCCTGGCTCAAAAGCTCCCCTACTGAGCACCTTGTGACCCCCACTCCTGCCAGAGAACAACCCCCCTTTGACTGTAATTTTCCTTTACCTACCCAAATCTTACAAAACGGCCCCACCCCATCTTCCTTCACTGACTCTCTTTTCAGACTCAGCCCGCCTGCACCCAGGTGAAATAAACAGCCTTGCTGCTCACACAAAGCCTGCTTGTTGGTCTCTTTACACAGATGCGCATGAAATTTGGTGCTGTGACTCGGATCGGGGGGACCTCCCTTGGGAGATCAATCCCCTGTCCTCCTGCTCTTTGCTCCGTGAAAAAGATCCACCTACGACCTCGGGTCCTCAGACCCACCAGCCCAAGGAACATCTCACCAATTTTAAATCAGGTAAGCCGCCTCTTCTTAATCTCTTCTCCAACCTCTCTCACTATCCCTCAACCACTTTCTCCTTTCAATCTTGGTACCACCCTTCAATCTCTCCCTTCTCTTAAGTTCAGTTCCTTTCCTTTTCTGGTAGAGACAGGAGACGCGTTTTATCCGTGGACCCAAAACTCCGGCGCTGGTCACAGACTAGGGAAGACAGTCTTCCCTTGGTGTTTAATCACGTGGGGACGACTGCCTGATTACTCACCCACGTTTCAGAGGTGTCTGACCACACGGGGACGCCTGCCTTGGTCCTTCACCCTTAGCAGCAAGTACTGCTTTTCTGGGGGGCAAGAACCTCCCAACTCCTTCTCTCTGTGTCTCTACCCCTTCTCTGCTTTTTCAGGGGGGCAAGAACCCCCCAACCCCTTCTCCTTCACCCTTAGTGGCAAGTACCACTTTTCTAGGGGGCAAGAACCCCCTGATCCCTTATTTCCATGCCCCAACCTCTTATCTCTGTGCCCCGATCCCTTAATTCCATGCCCTGACCTCTTATCTTTGCACCCCAATCCCTTATTTCCATGCCCTGACTTCTTATCTCTGCACCCCATCCCTTATTTCCACGCCCCAACCTCTTATCTCTGCGCCCTGATCCCTTATTTCTGTGCCCTGACCTCTTATCTCTGCACCCCAACCCCTTATATCTCCATGCCCCGACCCCTTTCCTGCTTTTCTGGAAGGTAAGAACCCCCAAACCCCTTCCCTCCGTGTCTCTACTCTGTTCTCTGGGCTTGCTTCCTTCACTATGGGCAACCTTCCACCCTCCATTCCTCCTTCTTCTCCCTTAGCCTGTGTTCTCAAGAACTTAAAACCTCTTCAACTCACACTTGACCTAAAACCTAAACAACTTATTTTCTTCTACAATGCCGCTTGACCCCAATACAAACTCAACAGTGGTTCCAAATAGACAGAAAACGGCACTTTCGATTTTTCCATCCTACAAGATCTAGATAATTCTTGTTGTAAAATAGGCAAATGGTCTGAGGTGCCTGACGTCCAGGCATTCTTCTACACGTTGTTCCCTCCCTAGTCTCTGTTCCCAATGTGATTCCTCCCCAATCCTCCTTCTTTCCCTCCTGGCTGTCCCCTCAGTCCCAACCCCAAGCGTCGCTGAGTCTTTCCAGTCTTCCTTTTCTACAGACCCATCTGACCTTTCCCCTCCTCCCCAGGCTGCTTGTCGCCAGGCCGAGCTAAGTCCCAATTCTTCCTCAGCCTCAGCTCCTCCACCCTATAATCCTTCTATCATCTCCCCTCCTCACACCCAGTCTGGCTTACAGTTTTGTTCCGCGACTAGCCCTCCCCTACCTGCCCAGCAATTTCCTCTTAGGAAAGTGGCTGGAGCTAAAGGCATAGTCAAGGTTAATGCTCCTTTTTCTTTATCCGACCTCTCCCAAATCAGTTAGCCTTTAGGCTCTTTTTCATCAAATATGAAAAACCCAGCCCAGTTCATGGCTCGTTTGGCAGCAACCCTGAGACGCTTTACAGCCCTAGACCCTAAAAGGTCAAAAGGCCATCTTATTCTCAATATACATTTGATTACCCAGTCAGCTCCTGACTTTAAATAAAGCTCCAAAAATTAAATTCCGGCCCTGAAACCCCACAACAGGACTTAATTAACCTCGCCTTCAAGGTGTACAATAATAGAAAAAAGTTGCAATTCCTTGCCTCCACTGTGAGACATATCCCAGCCACATCACCAGCACACAAGAACTTCCAAACACCTGAACCACAGCAGCCAGGAGTTCCTCCAGAACCTCCTCCCCAAGAAGCTTGCTACAAGTGCCGGACATCTGGCCACCGGGACAAGGAATGCCCGCAGCCCAGGATTCCTCCTAAGCCGTGTCCCATCTGTGTAGGACCCCACTGAAAATCAGACTGTTCAACTCACCTGGCAGCCACTCCCAGAGCCCCTAGAACTCTGGCCCAAGGCTCTCTGAGTGACTCCTTCCCAGATCTTCTCGGCTTAGCAGCTGAAGACTGACACTGCCCGATCGCCTCGGAAGCCCCCTAAACCATCACGGACGCCGAGCTTCAGGTAACTCTCACAGTGGAAGGTAAGTCCGTCCCCTTCTTAATCGATATGGAAGCTACCCACTCCACATTACCTTCTTTTCAAGGGCCTGTTTCCCTTGCCTCCATAACTGTTGCAGGTACTGACGGCCAGGCTTCTAAACCTCTTAAAACTCCCCAACTCTGGTGCCAACTTAGACAATACTCTTTTAAGCACTCCTTTTTAGTTATCCCCACCTGCCCAGTTCCCTTATTAGGCCGACACTTTAACTAAATTATCTGCTTCCCTGACTATTCCTGGGCTACAGCCACACCTCATCGCTGCCTTTTCCCCCAGTTCAAAGCCTCCTTCACATCCTCCCCTTGTATCTCCCCATCTTAACCCACAAGTATAAGACACCCCTACTCCCTCCTTAGTGACCGATCCTGCACCCCTTACCATCCCATTAAAACCTAATCACCCTTACCCTGCTCAATGTCAATATCCCATCCCACAGCACGCTTCAAAAGGATTAAAGCCTGCTATTACTCGCCTGCTACAGCATGGCCTTTTAAAGCCTATAAACTCCCCTTACAATTCCCCCATTTTACCTGTCCTAAAACCAGACAAGGCTTACAGGTTAGTTCAGGATCTGCGCCTTATCAACCAAATTGTTTTGCCTATCTACCCCGTGGTGCCAAACCCATATACTCTCCTATCCTCAATACCTCCCTCCACAACCCATTATTCTGTTCTAGATCTCAAACATGCTTTGTTTGCTATTCCTTTGCACCCTTCATCCCAGCCTCTCTTCGCTTTCACTTGTACTGACCCTGACACCCATCAGGCTCAGCAAATTACTTAGGCTGTACTGCTGCAAGGCTTCACAGACAGCCCCCATTACTTCAGTCAAGCCCAAATTTCTTCCTCATCTGTTACCTATCTCAGCATAATTCTCATAAAAACACACGTGCTCTCCCTGATTATCGTCTCCGGCTAATCTCCCAAACCCCAATCCCTTCTACAAAACAACAACTCCTTTCCTTCCTAGGCATGGTTAGTAAGGTCAGAATTCTTACACAAGAGCTGGGACCACGTCCTATAGCCTTTCTGTCCAAACAACTGGACCTTACTGTTTTAACCCAACCCTCATGTCTGCATGCAGCGGCTGCCGCTGCCTTAATACTTTTAAAGGCCCTAAAAATCACAAAGTATGCTCAACTGACTCTCTACAGTTCTCATAACTTCCAAAATCTATTTTCTTCCTCATACCTGATGCATATACTCTCTGCTCCCTGGCTCCTTCAGCTATATTCACTCTTTGTTGAGTCTCCCACAATTACCATTGTTCCTGGCACGGACTTCAACCCGGCCTCCCACATTATTCTGGATACCACACCTGACCCTCATGACTGTATCTCTCTGATCCACCTGACATTCACCCCATTTCCCCGTATTTCCTTCTTTCCTGTTCCTCACCCTAATCACATTTGGTTTATTGATGGCAGTTCCACCAGGCCTAAATGCCACTCACCAGCAAAGGCAGGCTATGCTATAGTATCTTCCACATCTATCATTGAGGCTACCGCTCTGCCCCCCTCCACTACCTCTCAGCAAGCCGAACTAGTTGCCTTAACCCAAGCCCTCACTCTTGCAAAAGGACTATGCGTCAATATTTATACTGACTCTAAATATGCCTTTCATATCGTGCACCACCATGCAAGAAGTTTCCTCACTAAACAAGGGTCCTCTATCATTAATCCCTCTTTAATAAAAACGCTTCTCAACGCCGCTTAACTTCCAAAGGAAGCTAGAGTCATTCACTGCAAGGGGCATCAAAAGGCATCAGATCCCATTGCTCTAGGCGACGCTTACGCTGATTAGGTGGCTAGACAAGCAGCTAGCATTCCAACTTCTGTCCCTCACAGCCAGTTTTTCTCCTTCACGTCAGTCACTCCCACCTACTCCCCCACTGAAACTTCCACCTATCAATCTCTTCCCACAGAAGGCAAATGGTTCTTAGACCAAGGAAAATATCTCCTTCCAGCCTCACAGGCCCATTCTATTCTGTCGTCATTTCATAACCTCTTCCATGTAGGTTACAAGCCGCTAGCCCGTCTCTTAGAACCTCTCATTTCCTTTCCATCCTGGAAATCTATCCTCAAAGAAATCACTTCTCAGTGTTCCATTTGCTATTCTACTACCCCTCAGGGATTGTTCAGGCCTCCTCCCTTTCCTACATATCAAGCTCGGAGATTTGCCCCTGCCCAGGACTGGCAAGTTGACTTTACTCACGTGCCCCGAGTCAGAAAACTAAAATACCTCTTAGTCTAGGTAGACGCTTTCACTGGATGGGTAGAGGCCTTTCCTACAGGGTCTGAG
Organism: Homo sapiens; assembly: GCF_000001405.40. Taxonomy (NCBI): domain Eukaryota; kingdom Metazoa; phylum Chordata; class Mammalia; order Primates; family Hominidae; genus Homo; species Homo sapiens. The sequence goes on along the minus strand of NC_000009.12, from coordinate 100,141,558 downwards.
AAGGCCACCGCGGTCATTTTTTCCCTTCTGTTAGACATAATTCCTCGGTTTGGCCTTCCCACCTCTATACAGTCTGATAGCAGACCGGCCTTTATTAGTCAAATCAGCCAAGCATTTTTTCAGGCTCTTGGTATTCAGTGAAACCTTTATTTCCCTTACGGTCCTCAGTCTTCAGGAAAGGTAGAATGGACTAACGGTCTTTTAAAAACACACCTCACCAAGCTCAGCCACCAACTTAAAAAGGACTAGACAATACTTTTACCACTTTCCCTTCTCAGAATTCAGGCCTGTCCTCAGAATGTTACAAGGTACAGCTCATTTAAGCTCCTGTATAGATGCTCCTTTTTATTAGGCCCCAGTATCATTCCAAGACCAACTTGGACTGTGCCCCAAAAAACTTGTCATCCCTACTATCTTCTGTCTAATCATACTCCTATTCACTGTTCTCAACTACTCACACATGCCCTGCTCTTGTTTACACTGCTGGTTTACACTGTTTCTCCAAGCCATCACAGCTGATATCTCCTGGAGCTATCCCCAAACTGCCACTCTTAACTCTTGAAGTAAATAAATAATCTTTGCTGGCAGAACTATGCTGAACCTCCTTAGGCACTCTCTAATTAAATGTCCTAGGTCCTCCCAATTCTTAGTCCTTTAATACCTGTTTTTCTCCTTCTCTTATTCCATTTAGTTTTTCAATTCATACAAAACCGTATCTAGGCCATCACCAGTAATTCTAAATGACGAACGTTTCTCCTAACAGTCCCACAATATCACCCCTTACCACAAAATCTTCCTTCAGCTTAATCTCTCCCATTCTAGGTTCCCACACCGCCCCTAATTCCGCTCGAAGCAGCCCTAAGAAACATCGCCCATTATCTCTCCGTACCATCCCCCAAAATTTTCGCTGTCCCAACACTTCACCACTATTTTGTTTTATTTTTCTTATTAATATAAGAAGACAGGAATGTCAGGCCTCTGAGCCCAAGCTAAGCCATCATATCTCCTGTGACCTACACGTACACATCCAGATGGCCGGTTCCTGCCTTAACTGATGACATTCCACCACAAAAGAAATGAAAATGGCCTATTCTTGCCTTAACTGATGACATTATCTTGTGAAATTCCTTCTCCTGGCTCATCCTGGCTCAAAAGCTCCCCTACTGAGCACCTTGTGACCCCCACTCCTGCCCGCCAGAGAACAACCCCCCTTTGACTGTAATTTTCCTTTACCTACCCAAATCTTATAAAACAGCTCCACCCCATCTTCCTTCACTGACTCTTTTCAGACTCAGCCCGCCTGCACCCAGGTGAAATAAATAGCCTTGTTGCTCACACAAAGCCTGTTTGGTGGTCTCTTTACACAGACGTGCATGAAACAAAGGTCATATATGATTCCTTTTTACATGAAATATCTATAAATCCATAGAAACAGAATGCATACTGGTGGTTGCCAGGGGCTAGGGAGAGAGGGCAATGGAGACAAACTGTTTAATGGATAAGTGGTTTTACTTGAGAGTGATGGAAATGCTTTGGAACTAGATAGAGGTAGTGGTTGCACAACATAACGAATGTACAAAATTTCTCTGAATTGCTCACTTTAAAGTGGTTATTTTGTCTGGGTGCGGTGGCTCATGCCTGTAATCCTAACATTTTGGTGGGCCAAGGCGGGCTGATAGCTTGAGCTCAGGAGTTTGAGACCAGCCCAGGCAATAAGGCGAAACCCCTGTCTCTATAAAAAATACAAAAATTAGCTGGGCGTAGTGGTACGTGCCTATAGTCCCAGCTACTTGGGGGCTGAGGCAGGAGGATCACTTGAATCCAGGAGGTTGAAGCTGCAGTGAGCCCTGATCACACCACTGCACTCCAGCCTGGGTGACAAAGTGAGACTCTATCTCCCCCCACAAAAAAAGGGTTAATTTTATGCTATGTGTATTTCACCTCAATAAATTGTTTTTAAAAATCAGATGACGGGACTGATTACAGGTTAAAAGGTAAGGTCTTGTTTCAGATATGCTGAAATTGAGATTTTGGGAAGATATCCAGGTAGAGATTTCTAGAAGATAGCTGGAAATATAAGTCTGGAATAAGGGGAGAGGCTAGGGCTAGAGACAAATATTTGAGGGAAAATAGCCGAAACTTATAGAAGTAGATGAGACCTCTGAAAGGTAGAATATATAGAAAGACTTTTATCTTGGGGCAGAAATGGGAGTTAAAGGAAAGGAGTTAATAAAGAAAACAATGAACTATCAAAGGAGTAGCAGAAAAATAAGTTACTGCAGTATCAAAGTCCAGAGAAAATTCTGAAATGAACAAGTGGTCAATATATCAATGAATCAGAGAAACACAGAAGTACGAGAACTGAGAAAAGAGTAAGCCTAGGTAAATTAGGTCACATTGTGCATCATGAAAACAACAACAACAAATAAGTCATTTCTGTACCCTATAATATAAAACAAAGAAGCACAAAATATGTTTGTAAAAGAAATCTCTCCCTACATGCTTTCATCTGTTTTGATTAAATAATGTTTTGACAAGGAAAACCATCAATAAGGCCGGGCGCGGTGGCTCACGCCTGTAATCCCAGCACTTTGGGAGGCTGAGGCAGGTGGATTGCTTGAGGTCAGGAGTTCAAGACCAGCCTGACCAACATGGTGAAACCCATCTCTACTAAAAATACAAAAATTATCCAGGCGTGGTGGCAGGCCCCTGTAATCCCTGTTACTTCGGAGACTGAGGCAGGAGAATCGCTTGAACCCAGGAGGCAGACGTTGCAGTGAGCCGAGATCGTGCTGCTGCACTCCAGCCTGGGTGACAGAGCGAGACTCTCTCTTGAAAGGAAAAAAAAAAAAAAAAAAGGAAACCATCAATAAAAATAATTTAAAAACAAAAGTCGAAATCAATAAAATTTCAAGGTTAAAGACTCTTTATCAAAAGTGCCTATATGCAACTCTTTTGATTTAAATAAGACAGATTTGTTTGAGCAAATGACAGAGCCGGAAAGGGTAGAAGCTGGGTACAGAAACATTAATGGTTGAAGTATATGATAATGTTTCTTCAACTCAAATCTAATGTTTCCAATTAAAGAATAAAAAGATGTTGCTCTGAGGGTTAAATGTATAAGGATATATATATATATAAAATTTTTTTTTGAGACGGAATTTCGCTCTTGTCACCCTAGCTGGAGTGCAATGGCACGATCTCGGCTCACTGCAACTTCTACCCACTGGGTTCAAGCGATTCTCCTGCCTCAGCCTCCCGAGTAGCTGGGATTATAGGCACGTGCCACCACGCCCAGCTAATTTTTGTATTTTTAGTAGAGATGGGGTTTCACCACATTGGCCAGGCTGGTCTCGAACTCCTCACCTCAGGTGATCCACCTGCCTCAGCCTCCCAAAGTATTGGGATTACAGACATGAGCCACCATGCCTGGCTGAGGAGTTACATATATTTTAAAAAGAAAGTTAAAGTCACTAGATGGCTATACCTACTTGCTGTTATTCTCAATTAAAGTTACTTATAAATAAAGCACTTTATACACATATATTATTACGTTGACTCTCAGTCTTTTAAAGTTTAACTCTTTTTAAAGTTAAAAAACAGCAAAAAAATCCTACAAAAAATTCAGTAGAACCTTAATGTTTAAATTTAGTATTTGTTGGTTCATTGAAAAAATATGAGAATTGAATTCAGCTACAATTTTAAATGAAATGCCATTTTCTTAATCACATCAATTAATCACATCAACTTTTAAATACAATTGGAAAAAGTACCTATATTTGCAAAAGAGATTATTTATATGGTTTTCAGATGTTTCATACTCATATATATTTGTAAACACTATGTATAACTTTGCTGCCTTTCAGGGTCTTTGGCATACACATCAATCAGTATTTCAATGTATTTTCATACTTACAATCTTATGATGTAAGTATGTTAGAAATATTATCTCCATTTTACAGAGGCTTAGAGAGTTAAACTACCTGCTCAAGGTCACAGAGTACCAAATGTCTTTGAATTATGACTCGAATATAGATCTTATAAATTCTGATACCAGATACCATTTCTTTTTCATTATGCTATATTTACTCTGCAGAGCACCAGAAAATAACAAGGTCCTTGTTATGCAGTGAAAAAACAAGTTATCATTAAACACTAGCTTTCTCACTTCCTCTGTTCCTGAAGCCCAAGTTTAGGAGTTTAATGGAACCAAGGGTGTTAGGGTCTGGGGAGGTGTGAGAGGAGCAGCAGTGGTCCCCTATATTCCTAAGGTTTCCTTTCCTATCCAGTCTCCCCTGCTTTAGGGACAAAACATCTCCCTCTAATCAAAAGAAAACCTAGAACTCCTTGTTTTCCCATGTGTAAAATAAGAATAATTTCCAAGGCCCTTCCAGTTTTCATATTTTATAATTGATTGTCAAGAATATTCAGATACATTCTAAGTTCATAGCATACTCATTCATTGAACAAACTTTCCTACTGTGTATCTAAACTTTCCAACTGTCTGTCCTTTTTTTTTGAGAAGGAGTCTCCCTCTGCTGACCAGGCTGGAGTACAGTGGCGCGATCACGGCTCACTGCAACCACTGCTTCCTGAGTTCAAGTGATTCTCCTGCCTCAGCCTCCCGCACAGCTGGGATTACAGGCGTGTGTCACTACACCTGGCTAATTTTTGTATTTTTATTAGAGATGGGGTTTCACCATGTTGGCCAGGCTGGTCTTGAACTTCTGACTTCAGGTGATCTGCCCACCTCAGCCTCCCAAAGCACTGGGATTACACGCGTGAGCTACTGTGCCCAGACCCGACTGTCCTTTCTGTTCCCATCTCCCCAGCGACTTTGATCCATCAATAATCCATTCTTTCTCCTAAATTTTTGATGTCTCCTTTTCCTTAACATTTAAACGTGTTCAAATATCTCTCATCTATTAGATTACAAGAGACTTAAAAGACTTATCAACCAAATACAATGTATAGACCTTGTTTAGGTCCTGATTTGAATAAATCAACTGTAAAAAAATGTTTGAGATATAATCAGGAAAATTTGAACACTGATTAGGTATTTAATAATATTACAGAATTATCACTAATTTCTTTTTGGTACAATGATATCGTGGGGATATATGAATTATAAATATACTGAAATATTTATGGATGAAATAATAGAATATATAATAAAACAGTTTGAAGTCTACAGAAACAAGTTTATGAATTAATATTTATTGAAAGTGGGTGACGGTTATACTGGGAGAGATTATTATTTATTAAAAATTTTCCCACCACAATTTCTTCCGTCCATACTTTTCCTGATCAATAACCCCATTAATCAATCACTCGTACTGTCTCCATATCCTCATTTCCTGTTTACTCAACAGTGATATATATCTAGCTTGTGTGTCCACTAAATACCATTGCTCTTGCTAAGGTCACTTTCTAACTGAAAAATCCAGTGGAAGCCTTTTAATTCTTATCATATTTATATCCATCCATTTATTGAGTCATTTAGTGGAAAAGGAACTATTCAAATCTTAGCATCATAGTAAAAAAGATGAAACAAATGGATCCTCTTCTGCTTGAAACCTGTCCCTCTGGCTCCATAACACCACTCTGATCTAGTTCTTCTCCTATCTTGTACTGTCTCCTTTGTAAGTTTATTTTCTGTAAATAAACCTTAAATATTGGTGTTTTCTATTTCTAGTCCTCTTCCCATCTATAAACCATACCTGAGCCCTTCAACTACTTCTATGGTTTCTATATGTATACTAATAACTCCAGCCAAGACCTTACTTTGGAGATGCAAACTATCACAATTCATACTAGTCATTATCACCGAAGCCTAAAATTCCATTTTTCACAACTGAACTCGATAACTTCCTCTCAAAATTGTACCTGGACTAGTATATCCTACCTCTATGAGTCATGTCATCAAGAGCTAGGAATACCAGTCAAAAGAGTCCCCAGTAAAACAGGATAGGTATCTAGAGGTTATGGAGCCAATAGCATTGAAAATGCAGCAAAGACAAATGGTATAAGCAGAATAGAGTAGTGATTCTCAAAGTGTGTTGCCTACATCATCACCATCACCTGGGAGCTTGTTAGATAAGCACATTCTCTGGCCCCACACCAGCCCTGCTGAATTAAAAACACTGGTGGTGGGGCCCAGACGTCTATGTTTTAACAAGTTCTCCAAGTGATTCTGCTGCATGTTCATCTAAGAACCCCTGGATAAGAGCATAGACACAGGGCTTTCATATAGCTCCTGAGGCTAAGGATGGGGGAAATTTGACCTGAGTGCTTAACAGTCTAGGTCAGGAACCATTCTTGGTTCCGTCCTCCCTTACCTTCCCTACAAATAATGTCTACCAAGTTCTGAACATTTTATCATTTTTTAAATAATACTTTAAAAATTGAGAATATAACATATACAGTAAAGTGCATAAATCTTAAGCATACAGACTGGTACCTTTTAATGTAACCAACACACACACCGATCCAGAACATTTTCAGCACCCCTGAAAGCTTATTCATATTCTTCTCAGTATATTACCCATCTTTTAGGTAACCACAAATCTGATTTGACTCACCATAGATTAGTTTTTCTTGTTCCTGAGGTTGATATGAACAGCAAATAAATTTTTTATAAGTGTCTGACTTGTTCCACTCAACATAATGTCTATGAAATTAACTTATGTGGTTGAACGTGTCAGCAGTTCATTCATGCAGTGTTCCATTGTAGGAATACATCACAATTTAGCTACTCATTCACCTGTTGGTACGTATTTGGGTTGTCTGCACTATTAAGAATATTTGCTTTTATAAAGAAGTTACACAAATGACCAAAAAACATGAAAAAATGCTCAACATCACTAATGATCAGGGAAATGCAAATCAAAACCACAACACAATACCACCTTACTCCTGTAAGAATGGCCATAATCAAAGAATAAAAAAACAGTAGATGTTGGCATGGATGGGGCGTTCAGGGAACACTTCTACACTGCTGGTGGGAATGTAAACTAGTACAGCCGCTATGGAAAACAGTGTGGAGATTCCTTAAGGAACTAAAAGTAGAACTACAATTTGATCCAGCAATCCCATTACTCGGTATCTACCCAGAGGAAAAGAAGTCATCATACGAAAAAGATACTTGCTCACACATGTTTATAGCAGCACAATTCACAATAGCAAAATTGTGGAACCAACCCAAATGCCCATCAATCAACGAGTGGATAAAGAAACTCTGGTGTATAGATATACACAATGGAATACTACTCAGCCTTAAAAAGGAATGAATTAACAGCATTTGCAATGACCTGGATGAGATTAGAGACTATTATTCTAAGTAAAGTAACTCAGGAATGGAAAACCAAACATCATATGTTCTCACTGATATGTGGGAGCTAAGCTATGAGGATGCAAAGGCCTAAGAATGATACAGTGGACTTTGGGGACTTGGGGGGAAGAGTGGAATGGGGGCAAGGGATAAAAGACAACAAATATGGTGCGGCATATACTGCTCGGGCGATGGGTGTACCAGGTTCTCACAAATCTCCACTAGAGAACTTACTCATGTAACCAAATACCACTTTTACCCCCAATAACTTATGGAAAAATAGAAGTTAAAAAAAGGAATGTTTGCTTTTCTAAATAAAACTATCATGTAATTCTCATACATGTCTTCTAGTAGAAAGAGGCACTTATTTTTCTTAGGTATTACCGGGGCTGGGAGCATGAATTGAGATGAGGGATGTGTGTATGTGTGTGTGTGTGTGTGTGTGTGTGTGTGTGTGTGTGTGTAGCTTTGGCAGATATAGTCAGATAGTTTGCGAGAGTGAATGTACCAATATACATTCTCAACAAAAATGTTGGGGAGCTCCAGTTGCTCCATATCTTCACCATCAATCAATATTGATTGCCAGACTTTTTTACTTTATACATTCCACTGGTCATGTAGTAGTATCTCATTGGAGTTTTAATTTGCTTCTAATTAGTAATGATGTTGTGTACCATCTCATGTGTCTTTTAGGCATCTGGATATAATCTTTTATGAAATAGGGCTACATGTTTCAACATGAAGAAGTTTCAAATACATAATATTAAGTTGAAAAAGCAAGTTGGTAAATGTCACACAGTATAATACCATTAATTTAAAGATGCAAAATAATATGGTTTACCCATAATAGTGTATGTGCACATGTACACACACACACACACACACACACATAAAGTAAAGGTAGAAACATATGCATGGGAATTGAAACCAACAAAATCAAGACAGACTGAGGAGACAGGGAAAGAAGGGTTTTGGAAGATAAATGGAAGACTTCAAGTGAATCTATAGTTTTGTTTAAAAATTCTGAAGCAAAAATAAGAAATACTGAGTTTGATCTCTTCGAGGTATTAGGTACCTAATGTTTTCTCAGTTCTCCATTGTTTTTTGTTTGTTTTTGTTTTTTTGAGATGGAGTCTCACTCTGTTGCCCAGGCTGGAGTGCAGTGGTGCAATATCCGCTCACTGCAACTTCCGCCTCCCAGGTTCAAGCGATTCTCCTGCCTCAGCCTCCTGAGTAGCTGGGATTATAGGCACGCACCATCACGCCCAGCTAAGTTTTGTATTTTTAGTAGAGATGGGGTTTCACCATGTTGGCCAGGCTGGTCTCAAATTCCTGACCTCAGGTGATCCTCCTGCCTCATCCTCCCAAATTGCTGAGATTACAGGCGTGAGCCATGGCACCAGGCCCTGTTCTTTCTTATCTCTATGCTTAAGATAATTAAAAAAAAAAAATTCCAGGCATATGCAAAGGCAAAGAGAATGTGAGTACAGTAATTTTTAAAGAGAAGAGATGTAAAAGGAGTAGAGTTCAGTTTCCTCATCCAAGGACAAATTGGACAAGAAGATCCCAAAGAGCCTTTCTATCTCTGACATCTGCTGATCTCTAAACAGTAATTTGATGTTTGCACCTACATTGTAGTGTGACTAATAGCAATAATATTGATAATGTAGTCCTTGAGAATAAATTTCTCCAACAAACAGAATGCTTTATATCTAAGGACTCATCATCCCTACATAGAAGATAGGATGTATTATTCCATTTTATAGATGAAGAAATTGAGGCATACAAGAGCATTGTTTATTAAGAAATTAAGCTCACAGAAAATCTTAAAAAATCCTGATTGCAAAATTGTAAGGGCAGGGAGTGGATAGTGAAAAGGAATAAATATAATTATTCATTTAAATTTCAACAGTCTTGAAGGCCATGCCCTTCATATTAAATCTATTTGATATTCACATTTACTGATTCATTCATTCATTCATTCATTCATTCATTCATTCATGTATTCCTTAAATAAATTACTGTCTTTATTAAGTGGCAGAAGCTATGCTAGGACTGTAACTATGAAATCAAATAAGACATGGTCACTGCCTTCAAATAGCTTTACTGGGCGTGAGACCTAGATAAACAAAATCTCCAATAAACTGTGGTGATGAGTTATGGTAGAGCTATATATGTACTGAGGGGGAATACAGAGCTGAAGGGGACTGGGGCGTGGATTGTTTGTTGTGTTTGTGTGTGCATCTGCAAAATAAGAAAACCTAATAGTGTTACCTGGTATAAGTGTTCCTGAAAAGTTTCAGAGGTATTCTTTCTCCTTTTTGTAAATCAGTAACATGGAAACAGCGTACCTTGAAAACTGAAAATAAACATTCAATTTTCATAGATGAACTGAGAATTATTTATGAATTTAAAAAAAGGACAATGCAGCCACAACCAGAAGGTTCTTTAATTTTTGTGTTTACTGTGATATAATTTGTCAAAGTGGGTAGTCTTAAGCTTCTTGAAGCCAAATAAATAACCTCCTGGAAGATTAAACATGCATAACTATTAACATATACTAATATTTCTAAAGCTTTTTTATCCTTATTAACAAATGTATCAGTAGAAGTCAGAGAAATAGTAGCCTCCCTGGAGCAAAACATTTCTAACAATTAGATATCTTTTGTGAGAAGCCCAGAAAAGGTATGACCAATTGCTTTCTTGGATTAAACTGATGGTTCTAAATGAAAAACAAATTAGGTGCAGATGTTCAGTATATTGAGATTAATTTTATTCTCATGGGTACCATTTCTTCAGTTTCTTGGACTAACAGTAATTTGTTTCCAGAGAAGTGAACATGTGCCAAAATAACTAAGCCAAGCAGCACAGTTCAATAAGTTTTTCCACAAACATATATATTTTTAAAGTAGATAAATGTTTCCAATAAACAAAAGGTCTCGTATTTGTATTAGTAATGACTTTCTATAAAAGTAAAATAAAATTCATTCAACCAAGACATGTCAGAACTTACTAGATTCAGAGAGATTCAAAAACAAACAAAAAGAGCTACTTGCCTGGAGCTCCAGCCTAGTAGAAAAGAGACAAGTAAGCAATAATTACAATATAAGGTAATGGGGCTCTAATAGAGATGTGAGCAAAATGCTTTGGGAATATGAGCTTTTCCCACTAATGAACCCAAGAAAAGATAACATAATACAGTTCACTATCACACACACACAAAAACTAGAAACATAATAAATAATGTATGAGAATGTTTGGTCTTCTCATGTCAATAATAACAATGACTATTATGGCTATAGATATTTTATAAAACACTTATGTATTACAAGGTAGATCAATCAGCTTTAATTATCATTTAATATCTTCATCCATGATCTTTGTAAGCAACTTAAGAGCAGGAATCATGTTGTTCACCTTTGTGTTCCAAGGCCTAACATGATGCCTGTTACATAATAGTTTTAACACATGTTGAATGAATGAAGGTATACACATATACATGAGTGTTCATGATTACATAAATAGCACACTTCTGCATTCATGGATACCAGAATTAAGTGGGACAGACAATACTTGGAAAGGATATTTGATATCCAATATATCAGAAGGTTCACTAAACAAAGGGAAATGACGATTAATAGGGATGGGTACTGAGAGCATCCATCTATAAGCTAACATACGTAATTCATTTTTTTCATATTCTCTCTAGTTGTATAATCATGATTACATAGTAGATATTTAACAAACGCTTGTTGAATGAACACTTCTGCCTCCATAATGTATCTCTTAAACCCAATTCCTCTCTATTGGCCTGAACTATAATAGCAATCTATGTATCTCCACTCTTTCTCTTCCAAAGTAGCTTTAGTTGCCATATTAGTCCCCCTAAAATACACTGATCATGTAACTTTTATTTTCAAATTTCCCAAAGGCTCCCTAGTATTCAGGATCCCTCATTTAAAAAAACAGAAATGCATAGGGAGTTCGTAGTACAAAAGCCTGGAACTGACAGAGAGCAGATACTAAATGGCCAAAAATTAATGAACTAGGTTGTGTTGGGAAAATTAGTTATCCATATGCTTTAAAATGAGAATGGATCCCCATACAAAAATCAATGTGTTATATATTAAGAGATTTAAACATAAAAGAAAATATAGGATAATTTAAAATAATCTCTACTCAGCTGTCTAGTCTCCCAGCTGTTGTTTAATACTAGGTTTCTTAGAGCACCACCCTATACAAGCACAGTTTAGGAATCTGTTAAAAACTTGTGAGGAATTTGTATCCAGATTCTTGCATTCTTTCTCTGCAATTCCCTCCTCTCCAGGATTTTGACTTTCAAGTTCCAGCCACTATTATCTCCAAACTCTGCCTCAGTTTCTTCAGCCTGGTAAGGCTGCTGCTTCCTGTTAGGGTTGTATTCTTTTGCATTCCAGTTTGGAAAATGTCATAAAGGAAAAGGCCAGGATGAATGTGGTACTCACTTTACGTGTTTCTCTTCTTTGAATGATTGTAGTCTCTTAGATCCTGCCTGTGCTGATTGTTCTCAATGCCTTCAAACAATGTATATAGTATTTTATTCAGTTTTTACAGATTTTTTTGACAGGCAAATTAGTTTAAAATAAGCCATTATGGCCAGAATTGATGCCTAGTTATGAAAGTGTCTTGTTGGTTTCTTATTTTTCTGATTCCTTGTTTTTTTAAAAAATTTTTTTATGTATTTACATTTTTTTTTGAGGCAGGGTCTCACTCCAGTCCCCCAGGCTGAAATACAGTGGTATGATCTCTCCTCACTGCAGACTTCCCAGGCTCAAGCGACCCTTCCACCTCAGCCTCCCAAGTAGCTGGGAGTACACGTGCTCACGACCATGCCCAACTAATTTGTGTGTGTGTATGTGTGTGTGTTTTTAGTAGAGACAGGGTTTCGTCATGTTGCCCAGGCTGGTCTCAAACTCCTGGCCTCAAGTGATCCACCCACCTTGGCCTCCCAAAGTCCTAAGATTACAGGTGTGAGCCACTGCACCCTGCCAGATTCCTTCTTTTAATTATAATATTAAATAAAATATATATTTTTTGAGACAGGGTCTCACTTTGTTGTTCAGGCTGGTCTGAAACTCCAGGGCTCAAGCAATCCTTCCGCCTCAGCCTCCCAAGGAGCTAGGACTACAGGTGTGGGCCACTACACCCAGCTAATTTTTTTTTGTTTTAAATAAATAGAGTCTCTCTATGTTGCCCTGGCTGGTCTCAAACTCCTGGCCTCAAGAGAGCCTCTTGCCTGGCCTTTCTAAAGTGCTAAAATTACAGGTGTGAGCCACTGTGCTTGGCTGATTTCTTCTTTCATATCTTTAAGCATTCCATCAGTGGTTATTTTATATTGTTTCTCTAATGATGCCAATCCCTGATGTTTTTCATAGACTAAATCTGTTTGTTGTTTCTGCTGACTCTCATTCATAGTAGATTGTTCCCTTATGAGTTTGGTGATCTTTCATTGTCAGTTCACGTTTGGTTTATTTAATATGGGAAAATCTTGGAAGTTTAAGGTGAAGATGTTTTCTCTAAAGAGAATTTGTGCTTGTGTCTCTTTGGGGGCAAGGAGTATTACAGGCCTGGGACATATTATCTCCAACTATTATTTGAAAATTATTTGTAGATCATTTACTATCTTATTCCTGACTGGTGCATACTATATTTCATCTCTGAATGCTGGTGCTTTGTATAAAGCACAAATGAACTAACACAGTACCCAGATTTAATTGGACACAGGAGAATACTAAAGAATTATTACTATCCTTTTCTGGGAATTCGGATCCATTACTGCTTTTGGCAAGCATGTAAAAACAAACAGCAACACAGAGTAAGGAAGGAAATGCATAATTATCAGATACTTGAAAGAACATGAAATCTGTTATAAAACCAACTATGTAAATACCACCACATAAATCATAGTTCTATTTATTCTTCGATACTATGAAAAACTTATAATTAAAAAATCAAAGTAGAAACAAAAAAACTAAAGAAAACAATGCATGGTATCTGATGAAAAGATTACAGCTAACATGTCTGGTTGTACATTCCCCTTCTTTCAACCATCTTTGTCATATAATACTTCTACAGGATGTTATACTGTTGGATCATCAACTGAAATCCTCACTTGCTCCACATAATCTACTTGATGTTAAGCTAGGTTCCTTCACTCTACATTTTTGAAGCTGAGTTTTACACCTAAATCAATCATAATGAAAAATCTAAAGGGTATCAAAGTCTTAATTTTGCGGCTTTTCCCAATCTGAACTATTTGCTTTTTTATGATAACAAGTTAAATGGAGTTACCTTTCTCGAGTGAATAATTTCATTAGCTGACAAGCCTAAGTGAAAGGTTATAAATACCCGAGAAGTAGTTAAAACTGAGATTGAAAATGAGGGAGATTTTTAAAAAAATTACTATAATAAAAACCAAATTCAAGAGAAGTAACTTTGAAAATAACCTGACAGACCTAACTGAGAAGCGCATATAACTAGCATATTCAGTAGTATAACTTAATGTCAGCCTTTTTTTATGCATTCAACTAATGAAAGGTATTTTTCTAACCCCTTAATTAATTAGCTATATCTGGTTCACATTTTTAAATAGAAAATAACTCTAATAGTTCCCGCTGGATCTAACTCATTTTAATTGCTTTTTATTCAAAAAATACAGAAATCTAAAATAACAAAAAGAAAAATACCAGGCACTGGAAATCTATTTTATGGACCAAAATTTTATGGAAGAAAAATAGTTTTTAGGTGAATAAGTCTTTAACTAAATGTAGAAGCTTCCTATTTTATCTGTTTGATGGGTTTAATCTTAAAAATCTGAGCTCTTAATAATACATTTAAAAATGTGAAATCATTAATATTGGCAACATAGTTTTAGATTTTAAAAAGTTGAAAATACATTCAGAAAATAAATTTATTTTATGCTTCTTAATGCCACATATTTCAAGCGACATTTCAACCTTTTAAATTAAATTAAATTAATTAATTAATTAATTTAGAGACAGGGTCTTGCCCTGTCACTCAGGATGGAGTACAGTGATGTGAACTCAGTTCACTGCAGCCTCAACCTCCCAGGCTCAAGTGATCCTCCCACCTGAGCCCCACAAGTAGCTGGGACTGCAAGTGTGCGCCACCATGCCCAGCTAATTTTTTAATTTTTTGTAGAGATGGGGTCTCACTATGTTGCCCAGGCTGGGATTTCAACTTTTTATAGTAAAAGTAATACTCATTAAGGAAAAAATTTTAAACAGTGAAAAGTAAAAAAATTCCATATATATTCCCCAAATTTAAACCCAACCACTATTAATATCTTTGAGTATTTCTTTTTGGTCTTTATTTTTTCCCTATACATAGATTGGTAACATTGTTTCATCACATTGTATATATAAATTTGATCACTTTTTTCCCAATAAACTTTAGATCACAGAATAAATTCTACTGTTTGAGGAACCTGAAATGCAGCCGCTGATAGTTATCTGTGCTTTTACTCTCTGCAGCTTAAAGACAGCTTTTAGAGAAAATATATAAAACCTATGAGTCATGCATTTGAGACTTCTTTATTATCTGTCCATTGCATAGTTCCACTAATCAACTAGCAGACATCACACAAAACATTTACTCTTCAAGGAAATTTTACTTCTCACCTTCTGGGCTGCAAGATGGAGGGCTGTTCTCTGGCTATGGTCAGTTTTATTCACATCTGCTCCTGCCTTCAGAAGAGCATCTGCACAATCCAATCTGTCAGCCAACACGCAATACATAAGTGGTGTTCTCCCAAACTGATCTTCTTTGTCTTTAAGAGCAGAGTTTCCTATAAGGATAAGAAACAGATAGTGATATTTGATAATTGTTATTACTAATATAAGTAGGAACTATATTCGCTGTTTATTATCAAACATTGTGCTAAATGCTTAAGTATATCATCTTATTTTTACTTGTCCTAAGAAGTAGATATTACCATTGTCATATTATAGGAAACTGAGGCTCAAATAAGTTAAGTAACCAGTCTATGTTCACACTGAAAGTAGGTGGGGCTAGAATTTAAACTGATGACTCAATCATATTATGCTGAACTAACATTTTGAGATACAGAGCTACTTATGTTCCTCCCTCACTCACTCTTGTCTTTTGAAACAAATATTTAATTAATGCCAATTGTACACTAGGCATTGTGGTATGTTTTATGAGTGATACAAAAATGAATTACAGGCTGGGTGCGGTGGCTCACGCCTGTAATCCCAGCACTCTGGGAGGCCAAGGTGGGCAGATCACTTGAGGTCAGAAGTTCAAGACCGGCCTGACCAACATGGTGAAACCCAGTCTCTGCTAAAAATACAAAAATTAGCCAGGCGTGGTGGCGGGCGCCTGTAATCCCAGCTACTCGGGAGGTTGAGGCAGGAGAATTGCTTAAACCCAGGAGGCGGAGGTTGTAGTGAACTAAGATTGTGCCATTGCACTCCAGCCTGGACAACGAGAGTAAAACTCCATCTCAAAAAAAAAAAAAAAAAAAAATCACAGTTGATTTCCCTTTCTAGACAAGATGACAAGATAGAGCAAGTACATAGCATCCTCATCCTCCTGCTAATTACAACTAAAATCCCCAGGGCAAAAGGCAAAATAAATGACAGGCAGAGAAGGGAAGGCATCTTGGACTAGGAACTTTGGAACTTGAGAGACAACCTGGTGGTAAGTTCCCTGAAGCGTTTTCTGTTTGCTTGTTTGCTTTTGCCTCCCATTATGGGCTACAGTAGCCTATAATCCAGAAACACCAAGGTGCACAGATGCCAAAGTTCTCAAGAGAAGTCTACTCTCTCTAGTAAAAAGACTGGGAGGCAGGTAACTCTGCTGAGTGAACCATTTGACTATGCTCTACTCAAAACACATACAATAAAAGAAACTGCACCTCTTTTCCCCACTGGACACTATAGAGACCGTTGGGAGGAGCCCTGTCAAACTATCAATGCCCCGAATTAAGCAAAGGATAGCAATGAGGTAGTATTTTACCCCTTTCCAATTAGAGAGTAGGAGATAGGAATATGGAGAGGACAAAGTTGGAGGAAGTAATTCTTTAAATTGGTACAAAAAGTCAGGACACTTTTGAGCAGCCCATGTGTGAAACTGGTCAGAATCAAGATAGCAAAAGCTCTGAGAATTGAACTATAGTTAGATCATTGCCTTGGTTCTAAATGGGCCTGAGCAGCCCAGAGGTGGGGCAAACCAGAAGAGCCCTGCAAGATCTCTGAAAACTAACTTGAAATTTGAACCACAAAATTGAAAGAGAATGTTCATTCTAAACCTTGACAGATTGTCCGTTTACTAAAGTAAGATATTTAAATAGGATCCAGAGTCTCATAATACAGAAAATGTCAAAGATATAATCCAAAATTATGAAACAACTCAAAAGTTTGGAAAATATTAATTTAAACAAGAAAAGATAATCAACAGGCACTGACACTGTGATGACACAGATATATTAGAATTATATGACAAGAATTTTAAAACAACTCTCAAAAAAGTGCTCCAACAACCAACTATGAACACTCATGAAACAAATAGAACATCAGGAATGAAAAAAGAGAAGCAGAATGTAAATATGTGAGAAACATAATAGACTGTTTTTAACCTCTTTAGTTTTTTTTTTTTTTTTAATGAGGGTCTCACTGTGTTGCCCAGGCTGGTCTTGAACTCCTGGGCTAAAGCAATCCTCCCTGCCTCAGCCTCCTGAGTAGCTGGGGCTACAGTGCATGCCTGGCTTATCCTCTTTAATTTTTAGAGTTATGTTTCGATGATTGAAAGCAAAGATAACCTTGCTGTATGATGTGGTTCTCAGTTTATGTAGAGGTGATTTTTAAGATAACTATATCAAAAAGAAGGGTAAAGGGACCTAATTAGTGATAAGGCTTCTATGTTGTACTCAAAGTGGAAAATACAGACTGTGATAAAATAAGTATACATATTCTAATACCTAGAACAATCATACACACACACACACACACACACACACACACACACACACTCAGAAACAAATAAAAAACCTCCAATGAAAACAAACTATACAAAGAGATTTATTTAAAAACACAACATAGACCCAGCAGGGTGGCTCACGCCTATAATCCCAACATTTTGGGAGGCTGAGGTGGGCGGATCACTTGAGGCCTAGAGTTCAAGACCAGCCTGGCCAACATGGCAAAAACCCGTCTCTACTAAAAATACAAAAATTAGCCGGGTGTGGTGGTGGCACATGCCTGTAATACCAGCTACTTGGGAGGCTGAGGCATGAGAATCACTTAAACCCAGGAGGTGGAGGTTGCAGTGAGCTGAGATTGCACCACTGCACTCCAGCCTGGGTAACAGAACAAAAACCACAATATAAGATACCACTTCACATACACTAGGATGGTTATAATAAAAAATATACATAATAACAAGTATTAATGAGAATATGGAGAAATCAAAATCCTCATATACTACTGGTGGGAATCTAAAATGGTAGAGTCACTTTGGAAAATATTCTGGAAGTTCCTCAAAACATTAAGTAACCATTTGACCCAGCAATTCCAATCCCAAGTATGTACCCAAGAGAAACGAAGACATATGTCCACACAAAAACTGGTACACAAATATCCATTGCAGTATTATTCATGAGAGCCAAAAGGTGGAAATAATGCAAGTATCCATAAGCTATTCATCAACTGACGAATGGTTAAACAAAATGTTGTATAGCTCTACAGTGGAATATTACTCAGCAAAAGGAATGAAGGTCTAGTATATGCTCAACATGGATGAACCTTGAAAACATTATGCTAAGCAAAAGAAGCCAGTCAAAAAATACCACATATTATATAATTATATTTATGTGAAATATCTGGCACTGGCATATCTATAGAGACAGAAAGTAGATGAGTAGTTGCCTAGGACTGGGGGTTGGGCACAAATTTGAAGAGTAACAGCCAAAGGGTGAAGGGTTTCTCTGTGGGATAATGAAAGTGTTCTAATATCATTTGTGGTGACGTTTGTCCAACACTGAATACACAAAATCACTCAATTGTATACTTTAAATTTTGAATTGTATAGTATGTGAATTATATCTTAATAAAGCATTACAAAAAGCTCTACCATATATAAATTAAAATGGAATACTAAAAATATTCAAGAAACGGAAAGGAGGACAGGAATGAAAAATAGAAGGAACATGCAGTGTTCTACACAATAAATTGGAAATCTTAAATCTTAACATTCATAATTACATTAAATGTAAATGATGTAAATACATCAATAAAAAGGCTGAGATATAAAAGAAGACTTGATTAGGCTGGGCGCAGTGGCTCACGCCTGTAATCCCAGCACTTTTGGAGGCCAAGGCGGGCGAATCATGAGGTCAGGAGATCGAGACCATCCTGGCTAACATGGTGAAACCCCCTCTCTACTAAAAAACAGAAAAAATTAGCTGGGTGTGGTGGCAGGTGCCTGTAGTCCCAGCCACCTTGGAGGCTGAGGCAGGAGAATGGCGTGAACCCGGGAGACGGAGCTTGCAGTAAGCCGAAATCGTGCCACTGCACTCCAGCCTGGGCAACAGAGCGAGACTCTGTCTCAAAAAAAAAAAAAAAAAAAAAAAAAGAAACTCACTTAAAATACAATAACATAGGAGGTTAAAAGTCAAAGAATTAGCAAAACTATAATAAATACTAATGAAATGAAAGCTGGAGTTAAGTATATTAATATCTAATAAGGTAAACTTTAGAGAAAAGACAATTACCAGAAACAAATAGAGATATTATATAACAATAAAAGGGTCAATTCACCAAGAATACATAAAATTCCTAAATGTATACATACTAAATCACAGAGCTTCAAGATACAGGCAGCAAAAACTGATAGAATAGAAAGAAACACTTGAAAACACAATTATAATTGGTAACTTCAACACTCTTCTCTCAATAATTGCTGGAACCACTAAAATGAAAATCAGCAAGGACACAGAAGAACTGAACACAAAAATAAAGCAACAGGATCCAACTGGTATTTATTTAACACTTCATCTAATGACAGCCAGAAATTCAATCTTTCAAAACACCCATGGGACCTTGACCAAAATATACAATATACTGGGTCATGAATGAATACTAACAGATTTAAAGAAGTGAAGTCATACAAAGTGTATTATCAGATGACAGTGTAATTAAACTAGAAATCAATAACAGAATAATAACAAGAAATAACAAAATATTTAAGATAATCCATGGGTTAAAGAGAAAATCTCAAGGGAAATTAAAAAGCATAATTAAATGAATAAAAACATGTTGTTGTAAGGTTCTTGCACCACACATGAGGGAAGCTTAGAAGGAAATATATAGTAATGAATGCTTTTAATTAGAATAGAAGAATAGTTTCAAATCAATTATCTATGCTTCTACCTTAGAACACTAAAACAGAAGAGCAAATTTAACCCAAAACAAGCAGAAGGAAGTACATAAGAAAAATAAGAACAGAGAGCAATTACATTAAAATCAGAAAAAAATAGAGAAAATCAATGAAGCTAAAAGTTGTTTCTTGGAAAATTAAATTAATAAATCTCTAATCAGATTGATCATTAAAAACAGAGCAGACACAAATTCCCAGTATCAAGAATGACATCACTACAAAGCCTGCAGATATTAAAAGGCAAATAAGAGAATGTCATATGCTATAAACTCACAATTTAAGTGAAATGGATAAATTCCTTGGAAGATATACTCCTTCAAAGTCCACTTAAGATATAGATACTCTCAACAGTACTTGTGGTAGGATAATTCTAACATGGCATCCAAGACTTCCAGCCCCTGGTATACATGCCCCGTATGATCCCTTCCTCTTGAGTGTGGGCAGGACTATGATGTCACTCCCATGATTAGATTTTGTTATGTGGCAAATATGAAGGGATTTTGCAAATGTAATTAAGTCTCTTAATCATTTAACTTCAAGTTAATCAAGAGAGATTAGTTTGGGTTGCTTTCACCTAATCAGGTGAGTCTTTCAAAAGAGTGTCTAGAGGTCCGAGGTAGAAATTGTAGAGATTTGAAGCAGCAGAGACACTTTCCTGCTGGCCTTGGAGAAGCAAACTGCAATGAATTTTAAAATTGTTAAAAAAAAACTGTAGTCAACTTGTTCATCACTATTTGTTGGAGTTTAGGTTTTCAGGCTCTTTCTGGGCTACATAGTTCTTTCCAGGGTACCTTGTAGCAATTTGAGAGTTCAGCAACACATTCTGCTGGGACTAAAGATCCAGAAGGAGCTTAGAGCTATGACTAGACCATTGATCGACTCATCACAAATGTGCACCTTGATCCCAAAGTCTTCACAAATGCTCACCAAAGAAAGATTCCCAGGATGATTCAGAGGCCTCTCACAACTTCTGCTCCAAAACGTTAATAAAGAACCTTGATAACTTGATTCTCCACCCAGGTACCAAATTCCCTTCCCCTCCACCAGAAGGTTCACCCCAACAACAAGATAGAAAAGCAAAGACCTTCCAGGACATCAGAGATGGTTTGCCTTACAGGAGGAGAGGAAAAAGGACATCGTTATTTGTGGAAAGAAAGGATGGTAAAACTGAGATACCTGTTACTCAACAGATTTTTCTCAGCTTAAACGAAAGCTAACAAATATTGGGCCTAAGAGGGTTCAGAATGAATCAAGAATTGAACCATTCAAATGTGGCTGCAGTTTCTACATGTATCATAGATGGGATCCTTCTGAGAATGCTAGAATAGGAAATTATGACAATGAGGTGATTTAGTCATAAACTTTATTCTTGTACTTTTCTTTCTTGCTGGCAAATTTATGCAGCAGTCTATGCTAGGATAGACTGTATACCAATAATAACCTATCATGAGTGATGTCTTTTTCTTCTTGTATCTTTTCCTTCTTACCTTGATAGCAGTAATTTATAAGGAATCTGTGTAAGTTTGAATGTATTTGAATAACTCGAATATACTTTAGCTCTACTTTTTAATTTGAACCCAAAGCAGCACCAATAAGTCTGAATTATTATCATGTGCTGGGATTACAGGCATAAGCCACCACACAGGGCTCCCATATGTTTTAGAACCTAAGTCAGTGAGATGAATCCCAACATCTGGAATTTGAAGCACGGTAACTTGTGGGGAAAGAATGAAAAGAAAACATTGAGAAGTTTGATTAGAGCATAACTAATTAGATTTTCTGGTTTTTAAAAATTTGAATTATATTAAAAGAAAATTCCAACATGCTATTTTTTCAATTTTCAGTAACAAATAAATGTGCATATAGAGAAACAATAAGGTTGACATATTAAGTACCTTTAAAAAAGTGAATTCTGGACCAGGTGCAGCGGCTCACGCCTGTAATCCCAACACTTTGGGAGGCCGAGGTGGGCAGATCACCAGATCAGGAGATTGAGACATCCTGGCTAACATGGTGAAACCCCATCGCTACTAAAAAATACAAAAAAATCAGCCAGGTGTGGTGGCGGGCGCCTGTAGTCCCAGCTACTCGGGAGCCTGCGGCAGGAGAATGGCGTGAACCCGGGAGGCAGAGCTTGCAGTGAAGCTGAGATTGCACCACTGCACTCGAGCCTGGGTGACAGAGTGAGACTCTGTCTCAAAAAAAAGAATTCTGCCAATGTGCAGTGGGGAGAGAATCCTAAATCTCAGATGAGACCTTAGCCCTGGCTGACGCCTTGACTGCAGTCTTGTGACACCACGAGCAAAAGCCTCAGCTTGAGCAGTGTCTAGATTCCTGACATACAGAAACTGTGAAGTAATAAATGTTTGTTGTTTGTAAGCTAAGTTTGTGTTAATTTGTTACACAGCAATAAAAACCTAATATAGTACTTTATTAAAAAATTAAATTAAATTCATAATTAATCCCCACTATAAGGTACTACTAAGAATAATTTGTTAAAAACTTCCCAGAGCAATCTTTGTAGAAATGAATGTGCAGTTTTAAAATTGTTATGAAAAGGCAAAAGAAGTAGAAGAATAAAAAGGTTTTGAAAAAAAGAACAAAGTTGAAGAACTCACATTGTATGATATCAAGGCATATTGTAAACCCACAGTAATGAAGAGAATGTGGTAGTGGCAAAGAAATAGACTTATAGACCAATAGAACAGATTTGAGAGTATGTAAATAGACACACACAGACATGATTAACTGACTCTGACAAAGATGCAAAGGCAAACCAATAGATAATCTTTTAAATAAATGGTGCTGGAAAGACCAGGCATGGTGGCTCATGCCTGTAATCCGAGCACTTTGGGAAGCCAAGGTGGGTGGATCACCTGAGGTCAGGAGTTCGAGGCCAGCCTGGTCAACATGGTGAAACCCCATCTCTACTAAAAGTACAGAAATTAGCCAGGTGTGGTGGTGGGCACCTGTAATTCTAGCTACTCAGGAGACTGAGGCAGGAGAATCGCTTGAACCTGGGAGGCAGAGGTTGCAGTGAGCCGAGATCATGCCACTGCACTCCAGCCTGGGCAACAGGAGTGAATAATATAATAATAATAATAAATGGTGCTGGAAAAATTTGGCATTCATATACAAAAACAAAAACATATACAAAAACAAAAATAAACCCAAAGCTTTCAACCTATATTTTGTATGTTAGTCAGTTCAAGCTGCTGTAACAAAGTACCATAGACTGGGAGGCTTATAAAAAACAAAAATTGGGGCTGGGTGTGGTGGCTCATGCCTGTAATCCCAGCACTTTGAGAGGCTGAGGCGGGCGGATCACTTGAGGCCAGGAGTCCGAGACCAGTCTGGCCAACATGGTGAAACCCCGTTTCTACTAAAAATACAAAAATTAGCAAGGTGTGGTGGCGGGCGTCTGTAATCCCAGCTACTCAGGAGGTTGAGGCAAGAGAATCGCTTGAACCCGGGAGGTGGAGGTTGCAGTGAGCTGAGATATTGCCATTGCACTCCAGCCTGGGCAACAAAGTAAGACTCTGTCTCAACAACAACAACAACAACAAAAATTGGCTGGGAATGGTGACTCCTGCCTGTAATCCCAGCACTTTGGGAGGTTGAGGCAGGAGGATCACGTGAGGCCAGGGGTTCAAGACCAGCATGGCCAACATAGCAAGACCCCATATCTAAAAAAAAAAAAAAAGAAAAAAAAAGAAAAAATCTGTCTTGGTGGTATGCACCTGTGCCTAGCAGTTCTGGAGGCTAGAAGTCTGAGATCAGGATGCCAGCATGATCAGGTTCTGGTGAGGCCTCTCTTCTGAGTTGCAGACTGCTGACTTCTGATATCCTCACATGAAAAAGAGGGCTTGAGAGCTTTCTGGGGTTCCTTTTATAAGGGTGTTAATTCCATTCACGAGGGCTAAACCCTCATGACTTAAATTATCTCCCAAAGACCCCGCCTCCTAATATCATCACATTGAGGGTTAGGGTTTCAAACATATGAATTTTGGAGGAATACAAATATTCAGTCCATAATAGCACCATATATAAAAATTACCTCAAAACGTATCATAAACTTAAATCTAAAACCTATAACTGCTTCTTCTCCGAGAAAACACCAAATGGCTGATAACGCCGGTGCAGCGGGAGGTGGGCGGGGGGGGCGGGGGGCCGGAGGCCCTGGTGGCCCTGGGATGGGGAACCGCGGTGGCTTCCGCGGAGGTTTCCGCAGTGGCATCCGGGGCCGGGGTTGCGGCCGTGGACGGGGCCCGGGCTGAGGCCGTGGAGCTCGAGAAGGCAAGGCCGAGGATAAGGAGTGCATGCCCGTCACCAAGCTGGGCCGCTTGGTCAAGGACATGAAGATCAAGTCCCTGGAGGAAATCTGTCTCTTCTCCCTGCCCATTAATGAATCTGAGATCATTGACTTTTTCCTGGGGGCCTCTCTCAAGGACGAGATTTTGAAGGTTACGCCGGTGCAGAAGCAGACCCGTGCTGGCCAGAGCACCAGGTTCAAAGCGTTTGTTGCTATCGGGGACTACAACGGCCACGTCGGTCTGGGTGTTAAGTGCTCCAAGGAAGTGGCCACCACCATCCGTAAGGCCATCATCCTGGCCAAGCTCTCCATTGTCCCCGTGCACAGAGGCTACTGGGGGAACAAGATCGGCAAGCCCCACACCGTCCCTTGCAAGGTGACAGGCCGCTGCGGCTCTGTGCTGGTGTGCCTCATCCCTGCACCCAGGGGCACTGGCATTGTCTCGGCGCCTGTGCCCAAGAAGCTGCTCATGATGGCTGGTATCGATGACTGCTACACCTCAGCCCGGGGCTGCAATGCCACCCTGGGCAACTTCGCCAAGGCCACCTTTGATGCCATCTCTAAGACCTACAGCTACCTGACCCCCGACCTCTGGAAGATTGTATTTACCAAGTCTCCCTGTCAGGAATTCACTGACCAACTCGTCAAGACCCACACCAGAGTCTCCGTGCAGCGGACTCAGGCTCCAGCTGTGGCTACAACATAGGGTTTTATACAAGAAAAATAAAGTGAATAAAGCCTGTTAAAAAAATAAAAAATAAATAAAACCTATAACTATATAAAACTTTTAGAAGCAATTGAAGGTGAAAATCTTCCTGATTTTGTGTTAGGCAGAGATTTCTTAGATATGATACAAAAGAATAATCCATAAAAATTAATAAATTAGATTTCATCCAAATAAAGAAATTGTGTTTGAAAACACAATTAAGAAAAATTTTTAAAAAGCCACAAATTGGGAGGAAATATTTGCAAAACACATATTTGATAAGGCCTTTTATTCCAGAATAAATAAAAACTTTTACAATAGAATAATAAGATGGATAATGAAACTTAGGCTGGGTGCAGTGCTCACACCTGTAATCCCAGCACTTTGGGAGGCAGAGGCAGGTAGATTGCTTGAGTCTAGGAGTTTGAGACCAGCCTAGGCAACATGGCAAAACCCCATCTCTACTAAAAATATAAAAATTAGCCAGGTGCAGTGGCTGGACTCATGTCTGTAATCCCAGCTACTTAGGAGGCTGAGGCATGAGAATCACTTAAACCCGGGAGGCGGAGGTTGCAGGGAGCCGAGATTGCACCACTGCACTCCAGCTTAGGTGACAGAGTATGACCCTGTCTCAAAAAAAAAAAAAAGAAAAAAAAGAAAGAAAAGAAATTAAAAGCCAACAGACACATGAAAAAATGCTCATCACCACTGGCCATCAGAGAAATGCAAATCAAAACCACAATGAGATATCATCTCACACCAGTTAGAATGGCGATCATTAAAAAGTCAGGAAACAACAGGTGCTGGAGAGGATGTGGAGA
Organism: Homo sapiens; assembly: GCF_000001405.40. Classification (NCBI taxonomy): domain Eukaryota; kingdom Metazoa; phylum Chordata; class Mammalia; order Primates; family Hominidae; genus Homo; species Homo sapiens. The sequence continues at coordinate 100,115,933 of NC_000009.12, read as the reverse complement.
AATAGGAACACTTTTACACTGTTGGTGGGACTGTAAACTAGTTCAACCATTGTGGAAGACAGTGTGGCGATTCCTGAGGGATCTAGAACTAGAAATACCATTTGACCCAGCCATCCCATTACTGGGTGTATACCCAAAGGATTATAAATCATGCTGCTATAAAGACACATGCACAATGTATGTTTACTGTGGCACTACTCACAATAGCAAAGACTTGGAACCAACCCAAATGTCCAATAATGACAGACTGGATTAAGAAAATGTGGCACATATACACCATGGAATACTATGCAGCCATAAAAAATGATGAGTTCATGTCCTTTGTAGGGACATGGATGAAGCTGGAAACCATCATTCTCAGCAAAGACAAAAAACCAAATACTGCATGTTCTCACTCATAGGTGGGAACTGAACAATGAGAACACTTGGACACAGGAAGGGGAACATCACACACTGGGGCCTGTTGTGGGGTCGGGGGACGGGGGAGGCATAGCATTAGGAGATATACCTAATGTAAATGACGAGTTAATGGGTGCAGCACACCAAGATGGCACATGTATACATATGTAACAAACCTGCACGTTGTGCACATGTACCCTAGAACTTAAAGTATAATAAAAATATATATATATAAAATAAAAATAAAATAAAAAAAGAGAAATTAAACGGTGGCCAAAAGGTTTTAATAGACATTTCACTAAATAAGCATATGAAAAGACTCTCAACATCATTAACACACAGGGAAATGTAAACTTAACCTATAATGCGATACCACTGCACATCTATTAGAATGGCTAAAATGAAAACAATCAAAAGCAAACTTCACAATACCAAATGCTGTTAAGGATGTAGAACCTAGTTGTAGAACTATTAATAGAATTCTCAGCCATTGTTGGTAGAAATGCAAAATGGTATAGCTACTATTAAAACTGTAGCCTAATAATTATGGCCTAATAATTTTTCACTTAAGTGTTTACTCAGGAGAAATAAAAGCATGAAAGTTTAAGTTAATATAAAAACTTGTATGTGAATATTTACGGCAGCATTATTCATAATTGCTAAACACTGGAAACATCCCAATTGTCCTTAAACTGCAAAATGAGAAAATAATCTGCAGTACATCCATAAAATGGAATATAGCTCACTAATAAAAAGGAATGAACTACTGATCCACTCAACAACATGGAAAATTCTCAAATGCCTTATGTCAAGTGAAAGAAATCCACTTCACCAGGCACAGTGGCTCACGCCCATAATCCCAGCACTTTGGGAGGCTGATGGGGGGAAGATCCCTTGAAGCCTGGAGTTTGAGACCAGCCTGGGCAACATGGCAAAACCCCATCTCTACAAAACACACACACACACTTAGCTGGGCATGGTGGAACATGCCTGTAGTCCCAGCTACTCAGGAGGCTGAGGTGGGAGGATCGCTTGAGCCTAGGAGGTTGAGGCTGCAGTGAGTCATGATTGTACCACTGCTCTTCAGCCTGGGAGACAAAGTGAGACTCTGTCTCAAAAAAAAAAAAAAAAAAAAAAAAAAAAGAAAGAAATCTGCCTCAAAGGGCATATATATCATGTGACACATTGGCATAGGATTGTGGAAAAGTTAAAACTATAGAGACAGAAAACAGACCAGTGGTTACCAGGGACTGGAATATGTGGAATGTGGGGAGAAACTGGCTATAAAAGGACACAGTTCTAACATTTTGGGGCATGATAGAATTGTTCTTTATCTTGATGGTCATGGTGATCACATGATTATATATTTCTCAAAATTAAATAACTGTATACGAACAAGGGTGAAATTTACTGTATTATATACCTCAATAAATTTTAGTTAAAAACAATAACTACAAAAGATGCCATGGCTCCAGCTATGTATTGTAAGTGAAAAAAATGTTGCCACTTTTGTTACAGATAATCATCAAGTATTCATCTCTTACTAGCTGAGGGTAATTACATCTGGGTTGAACAAGAGGGAAGCCAGTTACTTCCAAGGTATCTTGGCCTGAACTGTGCTAATGGAGGAAGTGAATAGACAAAATGAAAGTGTTTTCTTTGGAAAATAGAATGCTAGAAATGTCAATGGGTACAGTTAGATATAAGGAATAAGTTTTGGTGTTCTATTGCACAGTAGGGTGACTATAGTTAACAATACTGTATTGCATATTTCAAAATAGCTAGAATTTTGAATGCTCTCACCACAGAGAAATGATAAATGTTTGAGTTAATGCATATGCTAAATATCATCATTTGATCATTACACAATCTATACATGTATTATAACATCACACTCCACCCCCATAAACACATACAATTAGTATGTATCAATTAAAACTAAAACAAACAAACAAACAAACAAACAAACAAACAAAAAAGACACCAGATAAATGCCTGGGTTGTTTTGGGCATGAAACTAAGCTACTGTTTTAGTTTGCAATACTTCGACATATATTTTAATCTTGGATACGCTGGAACCCAGAAAGACTTCCTAGCTTTTCAGCAATTTACTTCGCTGGTAAAAAGCAAGAAAGGTCATTGCTCTGGAAATTTGAAAGAGCCTTACAGATGTATTCAGGTTGTGTGTAACTCCTAGAGGAGGCAGATATTCTTTTTCAGAACTTTTTTGAAGATGGAGGCAAATTTTGCATTGGATTCAACACATATAATAACAGAAGCCCTTATGCACAAGACTCTGTGTAGTACAACAGTATATTCTTTGTACTAGAGCCTTCAATATCTAATCTAGAAGATTCCAAAGATTCTATCACTGTATTTATAGATAAAGATTTATTTAAACTGAAACTCATTAACAGAACTAAAATGTAGTATAAGAGCATGTTCCTTTTATCAGTTTGAGTCCTTCTGGAGTCAGTGATACTTATAGAGAATATGCCATAATGAGACTAGTCTCTAGTTGTCTTTCATGATTAAAGGGCAGTCTCTACTGGCATCTTGTTAGGTTAAGCAAAGATAGTAGTAGCTAGTATTAGCAAGATAACAGTAATTCATTTACACTTTCTGCCTAGAGAGACATTCCTCCTTAGAAGCTTTAGTAAAGGAGAGGATTAGGAACTATGGTCACAAGAGTAAGTGCTGAGAAACAGAGGCCATCTCACATTCTGGGATAATCCTAACTCGAGCTTATCCAACCTGTGGCCTGTGGGCCACATGTAGCCCAGGAAGGCTTTTAATGCTGCCCAACACAAATTTATAATTTTTCTTAAAACATTATGAGATTTTTTTTTTTGCGATTTTTTTTTTTTTTAGCTCATCAGCTATTGTTAGTGTTAGTGTATTTTATGTGTAGCCCAAGACAATTCTTCTTCCAATACCCAGGAAAGCCAAAAGCTTGAACACCCCTGTCCTAATTGATTAGGCTCCTCAGGGTCAAAGCAGAGTCAGCATCATGGGGTTAATAGGCAACTCACCTTCAAGGACACAGAACTTTAGGTCAATCCTGTCATCTTCCTAAGTCTTATATAAGATACAGGGAAACTTCAAGCCTTCTCTTTGTTCCCTGACATACATTGTTTCTTTGTAACCGATATATGTATTTCCCAGAAGAGAAGATGTTATTGGGTTATGTCACCACAATCCAATATTTTGTGCCTATAAGGCAAAATTTGTCTATTTGAGGAAATTGAAAGTATATATCCCCCGGCTGGGCGTGGTGGCTCATGCCTGTAATCCCAGCACTTTGGGAGGCTGAGGCGGGTGGATCACCTGAGGTCAGGAGTTCGAGACCAGTCTGGCCAACATAGCAAAACCCTGTCTCTACTAAAAATACAAAAATTAGCTGAGCATGGTGGCATGTACCTGTGGTCCCAGGTACTCGGGAGGCTGAAGCAGGAGAATCACTTGAACCCGGAAGGCAGAGATTGCACCACTGCACTCCAGCCTGGGTGACAGAGTGAGACTCTGTCTCAAAAAAAGAAAGAAAGAAAGAAAGAAAGTATATATCCCCTAAATGATTAGAAAAAGCAGCATTCAACCTCACTTAGGTCCTGTCTTGAGTAGCTCTAGGGGGACAGTGGCTTCATGGCTAGTTTCTGAATAATGAGGGTACCATTAGGTTCTGGGCTTCCTGGCCAGTAACTGAGCGAGGTCTGTGCCTTTATCTATCCACCCTACTCTCTTCCTTAGTTTCCTCACTTATAACATTCAGCTAATACTTGTCCAATCTACACCGCAACTTGTTTGATGATCCAATAAAACAATGTATTGTTTGGAAATATTTGGTAATTGTAACATGTTGTACAAACGTAGAGCTTATGATGTAAACTAATATTCACTGGATGGCAGTGCATTTAAATTTGCATTCCTGTCAGGAACAGTTAATATAGAAAGCAGCTGGCTACTGTGCTGTGTTGTGCTAATTATTCTGGCAACTGTGGAGATGGCCTCTAATCCATGACCAATTGGTGCTTGCTCAACGTGGCTGGCATTCTGCCTGTGCTCTGTCTCAACACAGTCCAGAAAGCTGAGCTGGAAGCATGACTGGAAAGCCACTGCTCTACCGCATTCAGTTATTTTAAGGCTTGTGGAAGCATAAGAGTACATATGGTTAATGGGCTGGTATGTGCAGAAACCAGAGCGCCAACTCTAGCAGTTAGAGGAAATGACTGTCACTTGCAGTTATAGTTGTGCTAGTCCGCACAATAGCTACAGCAACACAATGCCCAATACAAGTAACAAGAGTAGTCTCTATTTGTATCTTATTTGCTTGTTCTAAAATGTTATATTTGCATGGCATCCAAGATGTATTTATTTCATCTGATTTCACCCACTTCTTACTTTACATATTTTATACTGTTACAATCTTGGGAAGGCATTTTGCTGTCATTAAAAAATCTCTGCTTATTGTTATAGAGTGACAACATGGGAACAATGGAAAGAACATAGGATTCATCATCAGATAATTTGGTTTGAGGCTCAACTTTGCCAGTTATTAACTGTGCAACTAAATTTCTCAACTTCTGAGTCTCAGTGTCCTAACATGCAAAATGAGAATAATAATAACATGAGACATACTGTATTTTGAGAGGACTTGAGATTTTATAAAATATTTCTATAACTTATAATTTGTGCAGGTATGTTAAAATATCATTTTCACTCACTGCTATTTCAAAATTATCATAGCTGTAAGACTTGCCCCAACACCTTGCTATTTAATACATTCATAAAAAATTATGGCAGAATATTGTTATGTCTCAACTTAAAAATATTTGATATTTCAATATAACTGGTTTCCTTTGTAATCCTCTATATTGCATTTCAGCTCTTAAAAATATACATATATTTTTGTTCTGAGGAGTCCAGAAGCTTACCAGATTGCCAGAAGGGCCCATAGCACAAAAATGTTAAGAAAAATCCCATCTAGATAATCATTCATTTCATCATGCAAGGTTCACACCTAATCGGTTCTTTCTTTCTTATCTTTCTCATTCCTATTTATTTATACATATGAAAGTGCACGTGTGTACAAAAATATCTACCCATACATTGAGGTCCCATACTTTAGCAGTTAAAAGAATGGACTCTGGAATCAGACTTCTTGGCTTTAATCTCAGTTCTGATACTTCTTAGACAAGTTACTTAACCTCTCTGCATCTCAATTTCCTTATTTAAAAATGAGGGTAATACTAATACCCCAAACTCTTCATATTATTTCACTGTTAAGTTAATGAGTTGCCAAACAATACAGTGGCTGGCACATAAAACATAACTTTATAAATGTTAGCTAATTTTATTACTATTGTTAGGATGGATGCATAAACATTTAAGTATATTTATAAACACATTTGCATGTAGGCAAGCATTTTAAAAACATTTAATGACTCTAGCTTTTAAGGTAGGGATTGAGGTAAGGGAAGAAGTAACCTGAAATAGTACCTCTACTCTGTCATTTATGAGGCTCACTTCCGTATCTAAATACTGTGTCAGAAGATGTTAAAAACAAGTAGAGGCCGGGCGCAGTGGCTCAGGCTTGTAATCCCAGCACTTCGGGAGGCCGAGGCGGGCGGATCACTTGAGGTCGGGAGTTCGAGACCAGCCTGACCAACATGGAGAAACCCCGTCTCTACTAAAAATACAACAAATTAGCCGGGCATGGTGGCACATGCCTGTAATCCCAGTTACTTGGGAGGCTGAGGCAGGAGAATCACTTGAACCAGGGAGGCAGAGGTTGTGGTGAGCCGAGATCACGCCATTGCACTCCAGCCTGGGCAACAAGAGTGAAACTCCATCTCAAAAATAAATAAATAAATAAACAAGTAGAGGAAATGATTTAGAGAGATTATGCTGCTCAGAACATGGACAGTGAAACAAAAGTTGTAGTAGAATCAGAATGGTGCTTCCTGGTCACGATACCACTGCAAGCGACCTCAAATATTATTGGCAGTAATGACAACATTGATCATTACACACCATGCATATTTACAAATTATTTTGTTTAGTTTTCACAAAAAACCCACAATATTAATCTTTGTTGCATTTAGTGCTCTTTCATATTGAGACATCTGAAGCTATGAAAAACTTGATTATTTTAGTCTAAGCTGACATAACAATAACAGTAATAGGATATTAACTTATTGTCTACTATGTGTCAAGTACCATGCTAGATATTTTACTGTCATTATTTCATTTAACTCTCACACAAGTGAAATATTATAATCTATAGTTTACGGATGAGGAAACTGAGGCTTAAAAATTAAATGGCTTAGCCAAGATATTACTACTAATAAATAACAGTTAGAACTTAAAACTCAGGTTTATCTGACTCTAAAATCTATACTTTTTTCTACCAATACTACACTGTATAGTATTAAAATGAATCTACTAAATTCTGTTCTCAATTACATTTCTAGTATTCATTCAAATTATTTGAGTTTGGTGTTAAGAGAAAAAGCTAAATATCTATAAATGAGAACCATAGCATATTCAGATTTTACTATGTATGTTTATATTTTAAGGCTCAGAAGTAAGCCCTAATACATCTGAATCTAGAAGCAGTAAGTTATGGTAAAACATTAATCCACTGTATTAGGTTAAACACTAAGAATTGCTACTGAAATGATGTTTCATTCAGAGAAGGCCTCTCCAGTCCTCCTCCAGGACAATGGGCAGCACAGAAAGTGTTCGATTTAATTCGTTGTGTATGTAGAAAGAGACACTCATCTGTTTCCATGGAGTCAAACACATCACTGACATACTTCTCCATGGAAACAGAGAGGGGAAAACAGAAAATGCTAAAGTGAATGAATTCACTGAGCAGTTGGTGAACAAGGATTCAAGAAAAAAAATTCATCTGTAGTACTATGTCACTAGTTTAGAAAAGAGAAATAGCATATATTTAGAGATCATCAAATATGTGATACATAAAAAGATGTTTAAAATACATTGAAATTACCACCTGGCATTCATATGCATAGAAAAAAAATTACATTGAAATTTAAGATGAAACAGTTATTATTTTTGCACAAATATACAAATGCTGGAAAATACTCTAGAGCAAAGGTACACAGAAAACATAATGGCACAATTCTTAAAAGATGAGGAGTGGCACCCTCAGTCAGTAATTAATAAGAAGTTCCTCAGACAAGATGATAGAAAACAGAAAAACAATTTATAAATAAGTTTATTAGCTACCTACTGGCTTCACATCATGATTGCTTTTTGGTTTTTAAGGATTTTCTCTTTGGGGATTTTCAAGGTTTCAGGTTTTAATAATAACACATTAATTAATCTGTATGACTGAGCCATAAAAATATAAGTGTTTTTAATTTATAACATACTGCACTTTTTTCTTTGAAGGTTATATTTTTAATTAAAGCATTAATGAATTCATTTTACTTGGTACTTTTTCTTCATACGTCCTGACTTAAAATTTTTTTTTCTCATGGAATTTAGTCCCAATCTGCTCCTCAATTCAATTTAATTCAACTCAATTCATTTTTAGTCCTGGCCCTCAAGATGATTATAGACTACTTGGGAGAAAAGATACTTAAAGAATGATTAAAATATTTATTCATTCCTTCAACAAATATATTTCTTATGTGCCAAGTACTGTGCTGGATTTTGTGGATTTAGTGATGAATTAAACAGACCCAGACTACTTTCATGAAGGCCACTAGCTTATGGAGGAGAGAGATGTTAAAATATTCATACACATAAATATACAGTGATAATCTGAAACAAGTTCTATGAAGAAAAACTACAGAGGGCCAAGAGGGAATACAATGAACAGATTTCATTGAGACTGGATGGTTAGCAGGCCTCTTTGAAGAAGTGACCTTAAAATTGAAATCTCAAGGATGACTAAGAGTTATTCAGACAGAGAATAGGGAGAACAGCGTTTCAGGCAAAAGCCCTGAGATGAAAAAGGGCTTGGCAGGTGTGAGACACTGAAAGAAGGCAAGTTTTACCACGTGAGGTAAAACGTGAGGATGGACAGGTAAAGAGATACAAGTAACCTGTCAAATTTTATTCCAAGTATAATGGGAATAATGAAAGAATTTTGAGCAGGAAAATGACAAAAATGTAATATACATACATTTTTTAGTTCAAGTGAACATGGAACATTTAGCAAAAAGTCAAAAATGGCAAAATTAACTAAAGTGTTTAAGGATGTATATGTAGGTGGTAAAACCACAATGTAATGATTATTATAAAAGTCAAGATAGCCTATTCCTCTAGTGGGGAGAGAAGGATGCATTAGGGGCTTCTGGGGTTACTGACAATGTGCTGCTCCTTAACCTAGGTGGTTTAAGTGGATGTTTGCTTTATGTTTATTTGTTAAATTGTACATATAAGTTGTATGCACTTCTCTATATGTATACTTCAAAATAAGAAAGTATATTTTGTTTTAATAAAAGAGTGAATTAAGGTAAATAAGTGTGGACAATGGGTACAGCTGGCCCAAGAATCTTGGTTTTGGTGACAGACAGCAATATTTGCCCCCCATTCATTCTTTCATTCTTCTTTTCAACAATTGAGCACCGTGAGTTTTAGCTGGGCATGATACCATCCAGGGCAAGACTTTTTTTTTCAGCTTCTTTTGTTCTAGGTGTGGCTTTGTGGTCTAAGTCTAGTCTACCTCCTTACTGACAAATTGCTTTCCCTGTGCTCTCTCTTCCTCCTTCCTGCTGACTGGGCTATGACTATAATGAACGTATCTGCCTTTGACCCAGAAATAGAAGCATCATGTTGAGAATGGAAGAACCAAGGCCTGGCAGTATACCTAAATGGTTTTGTGAAATGGAGATATCTATCTAACCTAGACTGCCCACATAACTGTGTACTATTACACAGCTGGGTTCAACTGCTTAGTAGTTGCCAGGAAGATAGGTTTGGTCCATCTAGAGTTGGGATTGCAATATTATGAGAATGAAATATACTTCTATCTTATTCAAGTCATGGTTGTAGCAGTTTAGCCTGTGCGCTAATGCAGTCGTGAGGGAAAGTTGAAAATGGCAATACCTAAAGGGAGATGAAGAAACAGAGATGGGATTTTTAAATAATGGAAACAATGAAGCATGTTTAAGTGTTGATGGAAAGAATTTAGCATAGAAGAAAGGTTGAAGATATAGTAATCAGAGGGGGAAAAAAAGAAGCAATGTCCCTGAGAAGACAGGAGGGGATGGAACACAGAGCATGTGTGGAAGAACTGGCCTTTAACAGAAAGATGGATCTTTGCTCTGTTTTAGCAGGAAGATGAAGAGAGAAGATGGGTACAGATCGAGGTAGATTTGTAGATACCATACTGAAAGATGAGGGAGTTCCTACTTAATGTCTTCATTTCCTCTAGTAAGCCTACTGCATTAAAGAGAATGAAAGGAGGGGGAACTGGCAGTCACAGGATTCAGTAGAGTGAGAGGTATGAAACATTCATTACAGAAAAAATGTGGTATGATGAGTAGTAAGTACTGAGTGCCTATTTGAAGTGGGTAATCATGAATTTGGGGTGCTATCAATCTTTCAGCTGGATTCAACTGCTTAGCAAGATAGGTTTGGTACATCCAGAGTTGAGAATGCAACAGTCAAGTGCAACAGAAGGCAAAAAAAAAAAAAAAAAAAAAAAAAGGGAATTTTTCCAAGAGAAGGATTTTAATAACAGACATAGAATCAAGGCTGAGTAGTGAGGAAGGAAAAGACAGAAGGAAAACTGATGGTCAAAACTAGAGAAGCTAGTGGATTGGAGGTCTCAGTGAGCATGGAAAACTATTGTTTGTCATCAGTAAGTGAGCTGAAAGTAAGAGTTTTAGTTGAATGGTAGAATGTTTGAGTGATTTGGAGGTGGTGGAAAATGTCAAGTTCCAGTGAATGTAGATAGCTGAGGTAAAGTAAGGATAAGCAGAGGAAGAGAAATCTTCACAGAGTGTGAGATACAATAGTTTTGTCTTTAAAGATAAGTAGGAGTTTGTTTAGCACAGAAGAAGGTTAACAGAGTAGCAGATAGAAAAAAGGTGGGGAAACAGAACATATGGAGAAAGTGAGACAAAATTCATGGCTTATTGGGAAATAGAAGTAACCTCTAGCTTAGCCAGAGGTTACGGTACACCAGTAGAAGTTCCTGGAGAAACTGCAAATGTAGGGTAAAAACAAAGTCGGAAGGAACAGGTATGAAAGTTCAAGTAATTTGGACTTTATTTTGTAGCCCAAGTTGTCAATCATGATGTCATCAGACACTGGTGTGAATAAAGACTACAAATAATATATTTTTATTTTTTTCTCTTTGGGATTTGCAACTTGTGAATATCTGGATTTGTGATAGAAAGATGGATCTTTGCTCTGCTTTAGCAGGAAGCTAAGGTTCTAGAAAATTCTTAGCTATTCTTTGTTCTCTTTATTCTCTCCTCTAGAACTCCTGCATTGGACCTCTCTATATATCACTTATATATGCAAATCACAGGGGGAACATTGAATCAATTTTAAATCATTAAAAATTAAATCATTTGTAAACTTTAATACTTTGGGTATATATTAAATGTTAAAAGATTATCCACTGTTTCATTCGAGATCTGTTAACATAAAGATGAATTCATTCCCTTAGTACCTTAGAATATCTATCTAGACTTAGTGCTAAATACATAGAAATTTCTCAAGTACTTTTCACCTAATCCTAACCCATATTTTTAAGTTTTAGGACTTAATTCCTTTCTTGTTCATGTGTTGGAAGAAAATATAAATAATAACATATTTCCATTAAAATGTATGAGTACATTGCAAATTAAAACTAACATTAACAAACTTCCTCAGGACAAACAGTTGCTTTTAAAGTTTCTGTACTTAAGGGGACTGCTTACCTACGATGAGCCTCTGTAGAGCACCCTTATCTCCATTAACGGCAGCAGCATGGACTTGTGATGCTAATGATGAACCAGCAAACAGCAGGTTCTCTGACTTGTTCATAGTCTTCTTAGCAACCGGAGCAACCTGAAACAATGATTCAGACAATGAGCGCATGCAGCAAACATTTCTGAAACCTGTCTCATCAGTTCCAAGTGGGTATTTTATAAATATGGCTTACTAGAAATACTTGACTAGGATTAGAAAAATCTATAGTCCTGGCTGGGTGCAGTGGTACATATCTGTAATACTAGCAGTTTGGAAGGCCAACGCAGGAGGATTGCTTGAGGCCAGAAGTTTGAGAGCAGCCTGGGCAAGATAGTGAGGCTGTCTATCTTAGTGAGACCTGTCTCAAAAGAAAAAAAGCTATAGTCCTAGTCCTGGAATTGGCATTAGGTGGCAAATTAGGTGACTTTTGTACAAGTTGCTCATCTGCTCATCTGTAAAATGAGAGGGTAGGTGCTTCTAGGACTCTTCTTAGGGACTATCTGAGGAAAAAACAAAGACAATATTTAACATTAGGCACAGGGCTCAGGGTTACAGTGACACAAGCAATATGATGCCACATAATCTAAGTTAATACAAGTAATATGATGCCACATAATATTAAACATTAGAATTGATATTGCAAATAAAAGTGAGCCCGATCCACAAAAAGAGTATAACATAAACTCAATTGTGAAGTCAGAATTAGCTGGATTTAAGCACTAAATAAACTTAAAAAAATTAATTAGGGCTGGGCATGGTGACTCATGCCTGTAATCCCAGCACTTTGTGAGGCCAAGACAGGAGAATTTCTTGAGCCCAGGAGTTTGAGACCAGCCTGGGCAATATAGCGAGAGCTCATTTCTACAAATCCCATCCCCTCCCCTCCCTTCCCCTCGCCTCCCCTCCCCTCCCCTCGCCTCTCCTTTCCTCCCCTCCTCTCCCCCTGCTTTCCTCCCTTCTTGTCTTTTCGAGACAGGGTCTTGCTCTGTCACCCAGGCTAGAGTGCAGTGGTGCGATGTCAGCTCATTGCAGCCTCTGCCTCCAGGGCTCAAGCAAGTCTCCTGCCTCAGCCTCCTCAGTAGCTGGGATTATAGGCACCTGCCATCACGACCGGCTAAGTTTTGTATTTTTTAGTAGCGACGGGGTTTCACCATGTTGGCCAGGCTGGTCTCGAACTCCTGATCTCAAGTGATCTGCCCACCTTGGCATCCCAAAGTGCTGGGATTACAGGCATAAGCCACCATGCCCTGCCTACCAAAAGTTTTTAAAAATTAGCTGAGCATGGTGGCATGCACTGTAATCCTAGCTACTCGGGAGGCTGAGGTGGAAGTTTCACTTGAACCTGAGAAACAGGGTTTGCAGTGAGCTGAGATCACACCATTGCATGCCAGACTGGGCAACAGGTTGAGACCCTGACTCAGAAAAAAATAAAAAAATTAGTTAAGGCCGGGTGTGATGGCTCACGCCTGTAATCCCAGCACTTTGGGAGGGCAAGGCGGGCAGATCACCTGAGGTCAGGAGTTCGAGACCAGCGTGGCCAACATGGCGAAACTGTGTCTCTACTAAAAATACAAAAATTAGCTGGGCGTGGTGGCGCGTGCCCATAATCCCAACTATGCAGGAGGCTGAGGCAGGAGAATTGCTTGAACCTGGGAGGTGGAGGTTGCAGTGAGCTGAGATCGCACCACTGCACTCCAGCCTGGGCAACAGAGTAAGACTCCATCTGAAAAAAAAATTAGTTAAAAAACTATTTTTAAAGAGATGGGATCTTGCTATGTTACCTAGGCTGGAGGGCAGTGGCTATTCATAGGTGCAATCCCACTACGATCAGCATAGGAGTTTTGACGTGGACCAGTTCATTCCTTCTTAGGCAGCCTGGTGGTCTTCTACTCCTGGGAGATCACCATATTGATGCCAAACTTAAAGTGGACACCTGAATGGCATAGCGCACTACAGCCTGAAACTCCTGAGTTAAGCGATCCTCCCTCCTCAGCCACCTGAATAGCTGGGACTTCAGGCATGTGCCATCACACCTGGCTAAATACTAAATTAAAAGGTATCTAGGTCTTGCCGTCATTCTCACAAAAAGTGAAATTTTTATTTGTTCTCTCCTTGGTCCACCAGGAAAATATACCTAGATAGAGGTCTTAACCATAAGATCTTACTTGGAACATCGTATCACTAAAATGAACCATATTTCAATAAGGACAATTTTGTTCTGACCGGTAGTCTCATGGAGCTTGTAAGAACCTTTTAAAAACATATGACAGGAGTTTGAGAGACCAGCCTGACCAATATGGTGAAACCCCGTCCCTACTAAAAACACAAAAATTAGCTGGGCTGTGGTGGCACACACCTGTAATCCTAGCTACTCAGGAGGCTGAGGTGGGAGAATTGCTTGAATTTGGGAGGTGGATGGAGGTTGCAGTGAGCCAAGATCATGCCACTGCACTCCAGCCTGGGCACAGAGGGAGACCCTGTCTCAAAAAAAATAAAATAAAATAAAAAATAAGTATCAGCCGCATAGGAAGATAGTGAGATCCCTATCACAAGAGTGTTTAAGAAAGCAGAGGCTGGAGAAATGCAGCAACAATTCAAACACCTGATGGGAAGGAAAGATGAATAGTTGCATCAGTGATCTTAAACATCCTTCCTAAACCCTTAAGCTGCTTTATCAAAGTTCCAAAGCTGAATGCCTACAAGGACCAGAGAGGTAACAACTGTTAGAAACGTAGGGAGTCACAGAATCACGGTAAACTCAAGCATATGTACTTATCTAAAGGGAGCAGCTGTTAATCAGCTCCAGTTAATTGCTGCCATGAGGGTAGGCAAGTCCTTTTCTGATTTCACCAAAAAGCAGGTCACGCCAATCGCTGTTACTCCTGGGGATCTGAGAGTTTTCTAAGATAAATTTATAACGGATGAGCTGGTATTTGTCTTGTCATCGACAAGGATTATTGGTTCAAATTCTGCCCTTGAGAGAACATATTAATACTTTCTTAATTATGGTAAAGCACAGCTCCTTACGTCTTTATTTTGCTGACAATTTGAGTTAAGGACTGGCAGAAAATATGGAGGAAGAGGGTGTTGTGAGACACTTCAGTCATGTCTGAGTCTAACAGTCATGTCAGAAGAACTACTGTCATATCCAGGATTATATTAAGGTTATTTGAGAGAAGCTACAAAATAGAGGTGGAGGTGAAAACATGGGAGGGGAGTAACTGCACTTGGGTTCTAGGCCCAGTTGTATTTATAATCAGCAGTGTGTCCTCAGGCTATGTCAGCTTTCTAGGTTTCTGTAAAATGCAAAAAATAATAAGGTTAGACCATGTTCACATTCGTTCATTCAACAAGCTGAGTGACAACTATGTGCTAGGCACTGTTCTAAACTCTAAGACCTGTCATTTTTCATTCTAAGTGATCAGAGTTTTAGGCACATCAGAACCACAAAAAAAGTTCTTTATACCCTTTGAAAAATACACTAAAAATGTGATCTCTGTTTTATATATATGTGTGTGTGTGTATATATTATACATATATAAATTATATATACACATATATAATATATATAATATATATACATATAATATATATATTATATATACATATATATTATATATATAATATATATTATATATATAATATATATGTATATATATTATATATATTATATATATACATATAATATATATACATATATAATATATATTATATATACATATATAATATATATATTATATATACATATATTATATATATATTATATATACATATATTATATATATTATATATACATATATTATATATATAATATATATTATATATACATATATTATATATATTATATGTACATATAATATATATATTATATGTACATATAATATATATATTATATGTACATATATAATATATATATTATATGTACATATATAATATATATATTATATATACATATATAATATATATATTATATATACATATATTATATATATTATATGTACATATATTATATATATTATATATATATACTTTTTACTTCATAATTCTTAGCACTTAGCACAGTAACAGGTATATAGCCAGTACTCAGTAGATGTTTGTTGGATGAAAGGTCACAGGCTGAGTGCTAAGTCCAAAAAGTGAGCAGGATCAAAGTTTAATTTCTTGAATAATGAGTTCATACTTACAAGTCTCTGCTCTTTTAAAATTTCCCATTTCAACTATCTTTGGGCTCTGTCAGGGGCGTGGACAAGAGATAGGAGCACTAGTCTAGGAGTTAGGCCGCCTTGGTAAGAGTATTGGCTCTATCACTGTCTAATTTTGTCACCCTGAGAAAGCCATTATGCAGGGCTCTTTTTTTTTCTTAAGAAAAAATGTATTTTTTGCCCCTTTAAGAAAATAAATCATTTTTTATAGAAAAAAGTCAAAACCACTTTGATAAAGTGCTATAAAATGCAAAGGTGTCATCATCCTTGCCTAATTATACAACAAGCCCGTGTAATAAATGCTCTAATAATTATAACCGTACAAAACTAGAGGTACTGCAGTCACACTCATAGGAAGAGTAATTCTGATTAGGACTAAAGGGTTGGTTGTTCGGGAAGTTCTCAGAGATGGTGACATTTAAGATAGCATTCCAGAGAGAGAACGGGTAAGGCCATTCCAGGCAGCAGGAAAGCTGAAGCAAAGGCGGGAGCAGGGAGAACCACAAAAGCACAGTGTGCCTCCTGGGTACTAAGCAGAGATCGCGTGGGCTCCTGGACCTCACTGAGTGTTTGCAGAAGAAGCCGCAGAGCTACCTGGGGCCAAGTTAGGATCCTCGACTGCTTTGCTAGGGAATTTCGTAATTATACTGGAGGAGCGATCCACGCCTTAGCAGCAATCACTCACACAGTTTTCCAGTTTACGACGTGCTATCCCATCCCGTACCACATCTACTCCTTACAGGAGCCCTCAGAGACAATCAGGGATAAGTCATTGACTCATTCAACTGAGGCCCCGAGTGGTGGCTCTGACTTTATAATGCAGGAATTAGAGCAGAAAGAAGAGGCAGCGGGCGAGGAGGCCAATGATGGAGGCTCAGGCCACAGCCTAGGCCAGGAAGGCCGTGAGTCTGCAGCAGGGGCCAAGGCGGTGCGGACCGAATGATCTGAGCCTCCCCAGCCAGGCCCCCTCCTACTCACCCTCGCCTCCTCCAGGACTGACGTCCCGGGGGCGGCTCCAGGAGGCGCAACCCGGACCGGGCCGCCCCTCCTGCCGGGCCGGTACACTATATCCAGCCAGGTCAGACCCCACGGCGCTGAAGCTAGCCGAGCCCCTCAAAAGGCCGCCCGAGGCTTTCGGCCGCACATCCTTCTGGGAATTGTAGTTCCCATCCTCTGAAGCACCGCGTACACCCGCCCTCCGCCCTTCTATCCCACAGGACCCCGCGCGCAGAGGACTCAGTGGACCGGGGCCGAGAGCCCAATGGGAAAGGAAGTTCTAGATGACGGACGACGTGCGGGGTGAGGCTAGTGCAGGACTACATTTCCCGAAGTGCACCGAGGTGGGCAGGACCCGGAAGTGAGGGTGTGAGAGGCCTCTCTGGAAGTTGTCCCGGGTGTTCGCCGCTGGAGCCCGGGTCGAGAGGACGAGGTGCCGCTGCCTGGAGAATCCTCCGCTGCCGTCGGCTCCCGGAGCCCAGCCCTTTCCTAACCCAACCCAACCTAGCCCAGTCCCAGCCGCCAGCGCCTGTCCCTGTCACGGACCCCAGCGTTACCATGCATCCTGCCGTCTTCCTATCCTTACCCGACCTCAGATGCTCCCTTCTGCTCCTGGTGAGTGAGGGAATGACAGACCCATCGACAAACGCACGAACGGCCTCCGGCCCTCGCCCAGGGGGAACACTGCTACTCCTGCCCCTGCTTTTCCGTCTTTTCCTGCAGTGTTTTGGAGTGCACCCTCCCCCGCTGCCCTCACTCTCGCCTGTCGGCTTCCAGGCGCGGAGTCCCCGAGGCCTGAGAAACCAGTGTCGGGGGAGAATGGGAGAATTAGCCCTGAGGGACTGATACGTAGTCACGGCGTAGGAGCTTCCCCTTCTCCCCGAAGTCCGGGGGTTTCGGTTTCGAGGGCTAGTGGACCTGGTGGTAGCTTGAATCGGAAAAGACCAAGCATAGACCTAGCGTTCCTTCCCACCCTCTCCATTTGGGAAGAGTGTGAGGTCGACAGGTGCTGGGGTTGTGTGACTCTCACTGGGTCTAGATCCCTGAAGCGGTGCCCGGGTTGGCAGATCCCTCTGTTGTGGCTTGATGCGATTGGTTGGGAACCCGGAACTGGAGACTGGTTTGGATTCCACTGGGAGAATAGAGTTTGAAGGGTGGAAGGTGTGGTTACCTGACAATCTCAGCTCAAGGCCTCCCTCAAATCTTATTGCAACGTATTTCCCCATGGAAGCAGATTTCTTCTTCATTGCGCCTTATTTGAATATGCATTCATTCCTAACTGCCTAACCTGCTCAGCATCATCCCATCTTAAAAGAATCTTTCCCTAGTCCCTCTTGCCCCAGAGTACGTCTTGAGTGTGCAGACTAATTGATCCAGGCTTCAGGTCAAATTGAGACAAAAGCGAAGGACTAAACACGTATGGCAAAATGGCTTATATTTAATTGGGCTGTTAATTATAATGTAATATTTGAAAGTACCTTAATTGTAGTAGATTTTTAGAAATTCAGATTTAAACATTAAGAACTACTTTCTTTACAATTTAAGAAACGATTTAGTGACGCATATGAAGTCACACAGCTAGTTACAGGCAGAGCTGGGATTAGAAACAAGTCTCTTGACTTCCAGTGCTTATTCCGCCATATCCCATTAAATGTTTAATATTTGTGTTTGAAATAGTTCTTTCTTTTCTTTTGTCACTTGGACCTTTTCGGAAAAAGCACTGTAAAAAACTAAATGGCATGTCAAAGTACTTTTGAGAACAAAAAGTTGTGTATAAACATTGTAATATTAAATGATAGAGTGTCTTATTGCCACTTCTTATAAGTATACAACAGTGAATGACTTCTGTATCGAGGAAAATATTCTGTATAGTGTTGTTTCTTGGTGATTTCATTATACACTGTGATACATTTTTCCTTCTAGAAGTGTTAGAATAATACCATTATTAGAGACCACTCTCTCCTTAAGAAGACTGGATACTAATCTTATCCACAAAATGGCTTGAGTTATGAATTGTGTGCACTTTTAGGAAATCAAAAAAAAAGGGCAAAAATCTTAAGATATTGTAAAGAAAAGTTGAGACACTGAACAGGCAAACTATATCAGATGCACTTTCCTCAAATGGTATGGTTTGGTTGTAAAGCTAAGTTATGAAGAAGAAATAATTTATTTTGGAATAACTCATGCTTTTTATAGAAAAACCTAATCTTGTTAAATATGAGTTTTTTCCCAAATAGAATCTAGATTTAACTAAAATCTAAGCATTTTGTATAATTATCTTTCTAAGCAAATGTAAAGGCATAAAAATCTGGAAAATATGTTAGAGAATACCTGTAGATATGAAAAGGCTGAAAAAG
The DNA here is from genome assembly GCF_000001405.40 of Homo sapiens. NCBI lineage: Eukaryota > Metazoa > Chordata > Mammalia > Primates > Hominidae > Homo > Homo sapiens. Next base: position 100,097,041 of record NC_000009.12, on the reverse strand, counting down.
CCCCAGAAAAGGTTTAAACTAGAATTACAAGTCAAACTAGATTTAATTGGAATACAGTGTTTACCTAGTTTTAATACTCATATGCTAGTTAGCAAATATTTATAAAACATCTATCCTGTCTAATCGCAACTTTGAGTTGCTTACTTAACTGGTAATTCTCTCCTACTGATGGAACCTACTTACTCAGTATTCTCGCTGTCTAATAATTTGTCCTCTTTGTTCCCCCGTGTACTTTTTTCCTACTCTTCCAACTTTCTCTCTCAGACCTCAAGTTTATTCCTTCTTACATACAGATAAAGAAAAGCCAAGTTCCCATTTAGCTGAGGTCATCATTTTTTCCTTAAATGGCCTCCTCTAAAAAGCTGTATATTCTCTTACTATGATAATTTTCTTCAGGCACTTTGTACCTCAACCCTAAAGAACTAGACCTGTTCAAATTTAGTGGTGTTCATATAAGATAACAGTTGAAACATAATCCCAAACTTCTGGAGGCAAGTAGCTATCTTTTCCCTGATCTCAAAGCATTTTGGAATATATCACTCTGCCACAAAGCCTTTCTGGATGGGTAACTAAACACAAAAGCTCAATGTGATAACTTTTTTTCCTGAGCTTTTATATGTATATATATCTTTTATATATATATTTATTTGCGTCTATATAGATTTTTATTTACATATATTTAGATAGATAGATTTAATTAGCCCTTTTCTGCTTATCTTCCTATCTAAGGTGGGTTTATTCAGGGTTTTCCGCTGGGAAAATGATCAGTAAGGGGGATAGAAATCTTGCCTGTTTTTCCTGCACTGGTTGTGTACAAGTTTTGAAAAGGCGAGATAAGAGAAATAAGACTAAATTGGAAAGAAGTTGTCTCATGCACCCTAGGTAACCTCTTCTGTAGTTCAGATTTGTAGCACTGCAGTCCATTTGTTTTATTGAAGATGTGTTCTCATTAATCTCTTGATAAGTATGTTTATAGATCATAATTGTTACTAGTCGTAATTGTCCCGCATGTGAACACTTAAGGGTTTTGCCATTGTTGTTCTCGGTTTGTTCAATATGTATAGGTAGTCAAGAAAAGTTTGCTTAGTTTAGGTAGCTATGTAAATTTGAGAGCTAAGTAAACATTTATTTAATCGTTACAAGTACCTTAAAAATAAGCACAGTAGAATTCAGAGATGTCAGTTTTATCCTTTAATGTTAATAATATATGTAGATTCCAGTCTTCAGGAAGAGTACTTTTGGAGGCATGCAGTTTGATTAATACCTAGGTGAGGTTTTATTTATTTTGTTGATTTAACTTACCCTAGATCAATAGTTTACAAAGCCTGGCTGCTCATTAGAATCATCTGTGGCAGTTTTAATAAAATGATATCGGGGCCCAATACCAGGTCAGTTATATCTGTGAGCCCCAGAAATTAGTTTTAAAAAAAAATTTCCCAGGTGACATACTAAAGTATGTCCCTCTAAAAGGTAAGAATTAAACAAAACCACAATACCATTATCACATCTGGAAAAATTGACAGAAATTCCTTCATATCATCAAATATCTGGTCAGTGTTTGGGTTTTCCTGATTGTTTCCCTTTTTTTAAAAAAAAATAAACAGCATTGTTCAAAGCAAGGGCTATATAAAGTCCATCTATTCCAATTGGTTCATATGTCACTTATAAAACTTTTTAAATCCCTAGGTTCTCTCTCCATCTCATCATTTTCCTTATAATTTGTTTAGGAAACTGATCCTCTGTCCTGTAGCATTTGCCACATTCTGGATATTGCTGATTGCATCCTTGTGGGGTTTTATGTTTCTCTGTTCCTTGTGTTTCCTGTACATTTGTAATTCAATTTATGTGGTCCTAACCACCAGCTGCATATATATTGTTAGGTTCATTTGTTTCATTTATCTTTCAATTTTTAGTTTTTAAAAATTTACCTTTTATTTTATAATTATATAAAATCTCTTCCAAAACTAAATCTGTAAAGCTAACTATATTTGGATAAGTCTAATTTGTTTGTCTCTTTTACTGTCTTATCTCCCTCTTAATAAAATAGCACTTTTTTTTTTTTTTTTTCTTGAGGCAGAGTCTAGCTCTGTCACCCAGGCTAGAGTGCAGAGGAGTGATCACAGCTCACTGCAGCCTCAACCTCTGAGGCTGAAGCAATCCTTTCACCTCAGCCTCCTGAATAGCTGGGACTCTGGGACTACAGGTGTGTGCTACCACACCTGGCTAATTTTTTTTAATTTTTGTAGAGACAAGGGTCTCACTATATTACCCAGGCTGGTCTTGAACTCCTGGCTCAACTGATCTGCCTGCCTTCCAAAGTGTTAGGATTATAGGAATGAGCCACTGTGGCAGACCTAGGAAAATTTTTTTTTAATTTTTTTTTTGAGTTGGAGTCTCACTGTGTTGCCCAGGCTGCAGTGCAGTGGCACCATCTTGACTCATTGCAACCTCTGTCTCCTGGGTTCAAGTGATTCTCCTGCCTCAGCCTCCCCATTAGCTGGGATTACAGGCGCTTGCCACTGTGCCTGGCTAATTTTTATATTTTTAGTAGAGATGGGGTTTCACCATGTTGGCCAGGCTGGTCTCAAACTCCTGACCTGAGGTGATCTGCCCGCCTTGGCCTCCCAAAGTGCTGGGATTACAGGCATGAGCCACCACGCCCGGCCTGGAATACTTTTTTAAAAACTTTTTCAATTTTATGTCCCTTTCTTCCTTTTTTTTTTTTAAAGGTACAAGCTATTTGTATTTATTTTGGCATATATTTGTTTCTCCCTCCACTTGGATTAAATTGTAGCTTATTAGTCACACTTTTCCCCCACCTTTTTTTTAACTTAAAATTTTATTCTAGAGATGCGGATAGAAATTTTGCCTATTTCTTTTTAACTGCTTATGCTTCACTGGATAGATACCAGTTCACTGTTGTTACCATTCTTTTGCTGTTACAGATAGCTCTGCAAACAATAGCTTGTGCTTACGTAATTTTGATAGTGTATCTTTGAGATAGATTTCTGTACTTGCAGTTGCTAGGGCAAAAGGTAAATGTATATGTAGCTTTGTAGGTATTGCTGTATATTTGAAATTACTCTCCGTATAGGGGTTGTGCCATTTTATGACCTCACCAACAATGTAATAGTTTCCCTGTAGCCTTGATTAAAAAGGTATAATGTCAAATTATTGGGTATTTGTCAGTCTGATGGGTGAGAAATGGTATCTCAATGTATTTTAATTTGCCTGTCTTTAATATGAGTGTGATCAAGCTTCTTAGGTGTAAAAGTCATTTGCATTTCTTTTTGTGTGAACTGTCTTCCTGTCTAGCCTGGTTTTCTGTAGAATTGTTGGTCTTCTATTTCTAGACTATATAGACACAGACACACACAGTTCTTTTTTTTTCCCCCCCCACAGACAGGGTCTTGCTGTGTAGCCCAGGCTGGAGTGCAGTGGCCTGATCTTGGCTCACTGTAGCCTCAACCTCCCAGGTCACGTGATGCTCCCACCTTAGCCTCCCAAGTAGCTGGGACTACAGGCACAAGCCACCACACCCAGCTAATTTTTGTATTTTTAGTAGAGATAGGCTTTTGCCATGTTGCCCAGGCTGGTCTCGAACTCCTGGGCTCAAGCGATCCACCCGCTTTGGCCTCCCAAAGTTCTGGTATTATAGGCCTGAGCCACTGTGCCCAGCCCACACAGAGTTCTTAACCCTTTATATCCTTAGTTGATTCTGTGATGATGCTCACAGGGTTGAGAAGCACTGGAATATACAGCCATATGTGAATTCAGTCATATGTCTGATAGGTTAAAATTTGTAAAAACCCTTGGAGATGTTTAATTGCTTACAGTTATTGAAAACTTTTTCTAAACTGTATACTGTGATTTTTAATAGCATTATAGAAGCTCAACCTTTAAATGCACTGTAGCTTACTTCATTATTTGTTAAGACATTTTGGTTACTGGTTATTTCAAGTTTTTCACAGTTATAAAAAATGTACAAAAGGTATGCATACAATGATGTTCTCTGCAAATGTTCAGATACATTCTCAGGTTACTTTTCTAGAATTATATTTTTTGGGTTATATGGTGTGTCTTATATTTAGAATTTCTGATATGTTGTACTAAATTGCCCTACTGAAAATTTGTACCAATGTGTATTCCTAACAGTGTGTGACTATGCCCACTTCCTCACACTCTCATCAGTAGTGAGTGTTTTTGTAATCTGTGCCAATTTACTAGACCAAAAATGGTATCACAATTTAAATTTACATTTCTTTGATTACAACCAAAGTTGAATTTTTTTCATATTTATTGATAATTTGTTTTCTTGTGTGCATGTTTGTATTATGGGTTCTTGTTATGTGTCTTCTTTTCAAAAAATGGCTTACTCTTCTTCCAGTAATTCAGAATGAATGTACTCACAAGATAGAGTTTATGAACAGTGGAAGGTATTATTCTTTTGCCTCTTCATTAGTCTCCATTCAAAAGGCAGTGTAATGCAAAAGTAGATGTCATGGCATCTATGTAAGTTCCGACTCTTCCATTTACTTAACCATCATAACCTTGGTTAAATTACTTGTTTTTCTTGTCTATAACGTAAGCACATGGATTTGATGATTCAATGATTCTTTGTGTAGTCTATCTTATTTTCAAGATAGACTACAAAAGGGTATTCCTTTAGCTCCTACTGATTATAGACTTATTATTTGATTGGGTAGTTCCTTTAAAAATCTGCTAGCTTGTCAGCATGTTGCACATGTGTATGGGGCATGCTTAGCATGCTTTTGTCACAGCTTATCTGATATTGACTCTTGCTGTACTCTATTTCTTCTAACCAAGAAGATTAAAAACAGTTTGAGTTTTTGCAACATTTATTGATTTTTAGCCTAACTTTGATTCCATAGAGAGGAACTCATCTATGGCCCAGGCTGCAGAAACTTAATCTGTATCTTTGTTATTATTTTTCTTTTCTGCCTATCATTTGAAAGTCTATTTGCAATCTACTATGGAGGAGAAAAAGATCATTGAGATGCATATCATGCCTTCAAGAAATTAGTAATTCAGATGAGGAGAGAAGATATATATATAAATAATTAGACTACCAAAAGGAAAGTAATGGATGCCAAAGGTGTTTGTAGAAGTGGGTTATAGATCCTGCTACTCAGAAGTGTGATTGTGAGCCCAGGCATCAGCATCATATGAGACCTTTTAGATCACCTCACCTCAGACCTACTGAATCAGAACCTGCACTTTAAGAACTTATACCCAGATGATTCATATGCACATAAAAGTTCGAGAAATACTGCCATGGATGTTTGGAAGAAACAAATTATTTCTCAGTGGAGGAATCAGAGTAGTCTTGGAAAAAGATGAATTTGAATATTGCCTTGAATAGTTAAATGGATCAACTTATTTTCAGTCCTGAATGGAATGAAGAAAAAGGGCAGTGCCTCTCAATAACATAGTAAATCTTTTCTATCAATTGAATACTTGTTTTTTATTGTTTTATTTTTAAGAAATCTTGTTGTCTGGTTGGCTGACGTGGCCAAATGTCAGAATTGGCCCTAAAGAAGCTGGCAAACCCTTTGGCCAACTTCATTAAAACAGTTTGTTATCAACTTAGCAAAAATAAAAATCATGATCTTTAGTGGGTTCTAACTAGCCTTCAGATTAGTCCATTCAAGAGGGGAGAGGAATAAAATGCCACTTTGGAGAAGTCCCTTCTGTAATGCTGTGGGTCTTGGTTCTGTCCTTGCAAAGACTGAAATCGAATTCTAACTGCTTTGGGAATCCTTGGTGATATTGTGGTCACCACATTCATCTCTGCAATTCCTACAAACCTGAGATTTCATCATTATGTAGAACTTTGAGCATTATATTGGACTCTAATTTTAAGTCACCTGAATTTGTAGACACGAACATTGCTAATATAGTAGAGAAAAGCAACAAAAAAGCAGAAGAAACCCATCTCAGAAAAACATTGTAGTAGTATTTGAGCTAAAGAAAACCATAGGCTGAATAGTAGAATACCAGTACTTTTTCCATTTCTTCCTTATTATAGTCTAGTAGTGGGACCTTTGGTGAATGGATTTAAGAAATTTTAGAAAAAGGTTGTTAGGTCATGTTTGACATCCTTCTGGGAAAAATAAATTTTTAAAAATAAAAAAGAGGTCATTAGGAATATAGATTATGAATGCATCTACAAAATAAAATGTTAGAGTTAAAATTTCTTGTCCTATAGACAGTACGCACTCATATTTACAAGCCTGCTCTTTAGCTGTTTTGTTGTATATTTTTTTTTTTTTGAAACAGAGTCTCACTCCGTTGCCCAGGCTGGAATGCAATGGCGTGATCTCGGCTCACTGCAGCCTCCACCTCCTGGGTTCTAGTGATTCTCCTGCCTCAGCCTCCCAGGTAGCTGGGATTACAGGTGCCTGCCACCATGCCCGGCTAATTTTTGTGTTTTTAGTAGAGACGGGGTTTCACCATGTTGGCCAGACTGGTCTCAAACTCCTGACCTCAGGTGATCCACCTACCTCAGCCTCCCAAAGTGTTAGGATTACAGCCGTGAGCCACTGTGCCAGGCCTGTTTTGTTGTATTTGAAGTTTTAAATAATGTAGGGGGAAATGCCAGCTTTTAAAAATTACCAACACATCATTGAAGTCTATCTCTTTGCTTATAGAACAGCTGCAAGTGTAAGATAATGTATTGTCATTTGGCGTTACCTTGAGAGAAGAAACCTGCACATCCTCAGTTCCTTTGACTTATTACTGGAGTTCTGGCCCAAGTACAGTAAAATGTCAGCTAGCCAGTGATAAGCTTACACTTCTGTAATGATTTTACCTCTGAAAGGGCTGAGAATAAAGAATAGCTACTTTTTTTTTCTTTTTTTGCTAGTCAAAATAATTTCTTAGAAAACAGCTACTCAAATGGACTCATTCCTCAAACTTTCTAAATAGCAGGAATTTTTACTGTAGGAGTGGATATTATTTCCTCACAGGAAGTCTTGTAGTGTGCTAACAACAAAAGTATTACAATGTTGTAAAATACTTAGTTCTTTGTTAGTTTAACCTTTGAATGAAATGAACAGTTTCAGAGACCCTAATTTTGCTTTAGAGTTACAGTAGTCCCCTCTTATCCACAGGAGGTAATGTTCCAAGATGCTCAGTGTCTGCCTGAAATTGTGGATTATACCGAACCCTATATATACTATGTTTTTTCTTATACATACATACCTATGATAAAGTTTCCTTTATAAATTAGGCACAGTAAGAGATCAACAATAGTAACTAATAATAAAATATACTGTTCACAGTTTCTTTATAGAAGATTTATTCTTAATCTAGATCTTAGCCACCTCAGCGTATGATTTATTTTCTTTCCATTTAAAGTCAAGAGCTTTCATCTTTTCACTTAAGGAAGCGCTTTATGGCTTCTCTTTGGCATATCTTTTTTTTTTTTTTTTTTTTTTTGAGATGGAGTCTCACTCTGTCACCCAGGCTGGAGTGCGGTGGCGTGATATTGGTTCACTGCAACCTCTGCCTCCTGGGTTCAAGCGATTCTTCTGCCTCAGCCTCCTGAGTAGCTGGGATTACAGGCACTCGCCACTACACCCAGCTAATTTTTGTATTTTTAGTAGATTTGGGGTTTTGCCATGCTGGCTTGGCTGGTCTCGAACTCCTGACCTAAGGTGATCCGCCTGCCTTGGCCCTCCAAAGTGCTGGGATTAACAGGCATGAGCCACCACGCCTGGCCTCTCTTTGGCATATCTTAATTGCCAGCATCACTACTCTTGTGCTTTGGAGCCATTATTAAGTAAAGTATGGGTTTTTGAACACAAGTATTGTGATTCCAGTACCACTACAGTTGATAAGGGGCGGGTTATGTCTGCAGTGGGAATATGCTGGACAAAAGGATGATTCACATCCCACCTAATTTGAAGCAAGATGGTATGAGACTTCATCACACTACTTAGAACTGCATGCAATTTAAAACTTATAAAGTGTTTATTTCTGGAATTTTCCATTTAATGTTTTCAGATCATGGTTGGATAAAGGGGACTAATGTAAAGACTGTGCTACATTTTTAAAGCATGTATCTTATTTGTTTCAGAAATCATCCAGTTTGTTTATTTGTACCTGTACTCTGGTTTTAGGATATCTTCTGGAATATTCGAAGTATTTCTTTCCCTTAATGATCGCTTGAATATATATAGACTAAAGAGAAAACTTTTAGAAGAATATTTAGTTTAGGGATCAGGGATTTGGGCCCAAATCTTGGATCTGCTACTCACCACCCTTCTTTCTTCTTAACATCTCTATTTTCCTATTAACTTCTGAGGAATAATACTGGTATTATGTCTGACTCCTAAGTGGTGGTGTTATTCCATGCTACTATTATGATTTTATGAAACAAAAAGTGGTGAAAGGTATCCCCTTTTCTCATTCTTAGATCTCAGTTTGTTGTACAATGCCTTATTATAGAGTAAATGCTTAATAACAATTTAAGTACTGTGGAAAAAGAAAAGGTAGGGCTTACGTGAGAAGGATCAGGAGTGTATTAGGGGAGTTGTAGTTTGTAAGCATCACGGGACAGGTGAGCCTTGAAGCAAGTGAGGGAGTTAGTCATTTGGATTTCCTGGAAGAAGAGCCTTCCAGGCAGGGCCGTTAGTCAGTGCAAAGCCCCTAATGTGGGAGTGTCCCAGGCATATTCAAGAAATAGCAAGGAGAGCAGCGTGATTGTCATATAGTGAATAAGATACAGCATATTAGAAGATGAAGTCATTTAGTTAAAACATATTTTGCAAAAGTGTACTTGCCCTTACTATGTATGTTGTTTACTGATAATTGTTTTTCTTTTTCTATTCTGTGCTTTATTTTATTTTTTAAAAATTGCTGATCTGACTCAGTAGGGAAGAACTTCCTAACTGGGTGGCTGATATTATTGATCTCTTCAGCCTTGCCCCATTTGCCTCTGTTGGGAGTAGCCTTTGTTGTTTTGATTCTCTGTTACAGGAGGGGTCCCAACTTGCAGTGTGAAAAATACTGTTGTAGTAACTTAAAATGTTAAACCAAAAGATTTCCTGACGTGTTTTTTGATTCCCGAAAGTGATAACACTTTCATGGTACAGAAAAGCATAATGAAGAAAAAAATGCGTACACTAACCACTGATAACATTTTAGTGTATTTCCTTTCGGTTTTATTCTGTGCATATGCGTATGGATTTTTAATAGTAATGTGTATATTTTGAACAATATAAGATTGGGCTCTTTTTGTTTAATCCTGATGTAGAGTGGTAGACTTCTGGTTCATAGAAATATAGAAAGAAAAGATACCACATGCTTAGATGTATTCTACCACTTGGAAATAACTCCTAGCTTGACCATGTAACTTCAAAAAGTTATTTAACCTTTCTGAGTTTCCATTTTCTCACATATCAGATAGAGATAAAGACCTCTCCTGCTTAGTTCTGGGGCAGCTAATGAGACTGAATGTGTCTGTAGTGCATTATAAGAAACTAAACTCTCCTGGTTTTTGCCACATAATAGGTGTTCAATAAATGTTAAGATGAGGGACTGAGTGAATGAATGAATGACTAAATAGATACCCTTTTTTTGAAACTTTCAAGTTGTCTGTCCAATGGTATTAAAATTGTGTGCACTGATGTAATGAGTTCACTTGACCAGCTTCCGGCCTTTGTGGTCTGTGGTCTTCTTATCCTAATAATTACATTGTCATTATGCCAACAAAAACAGCTTAAAAATGTGACTGTTAAGTGAATAAGTTATCAGCTTAGCTCTGTTTTATAACTGTATTTTAATTAGTGTTATACATAAATTTGTTATATTATTTTGAAAAAAGCTTATGGAGGGAGTTGTGTTTTGTCGTATAGTCCATTGGTTTTAGAATTAAAGGAGATTAGGGTTTGAATTCTGTTCTGCCATTAATTTGGACACGTCACTTAGCTTATTTGAATCTTATTCATTTAATAAATATTCTCCCTTTTACTGTATGCCAGAGACTGCAAAGTTTTTTTTTTTATTTATAAAATAGGGATAATGTAATTCCTACTTCACGTTCAGAGTTGCTATGATGATTTAAAGAGATAATATACATGTTTGTAAACTGTTGATAGAAGATACTGTTAGATTAAAATATTTGTGGATGCTTCAAACATGTGTTTGTTGTGTGGATTCTTTCCCCAGAAGGCTAGGTGTGCAATGTATTTCCCTTTCAGGGAGAGTTGATCAATTATGGAAGTAGTTCTATGGTCTGGATTTCTGGGGTAACTGAGAGTACTAGAAGGTAGAGTGACTTTGAAGCTGGAAAGACCTGCTTCATTCCTAGCTCCCTCTCTTTTTAGCTGTTGTGATAGTAGGCAAATTTCTTTATCTTTTTGAATATCAGTTTTTCTAAAAGTGGGAATAATAATTCTGCAAGATTGTGAGATTGAGATATAATGTATGTAAAGGACATTGTATGATGTCTGGCATGTAGGAGATACTTGTTTGTAAAGTAATAGTAGAGAAGGAAATGTTGTTAAGTGAATGGAGTCGTTGTGAAATGGAGAAAGCACCTTAGAAAAGGATAGTGCTTGTGCTGACCATCCTTCTGTGATTGTTATCTTTTGACTCTCTGAAATGAGTAAATGGGTGAGGCTTTTAATTTTAAAAGTCAAGTCTAGATATTAGTGGTTTCTTAAAGTATTTGTTAACTTGTCTCTTTCCTTTGGTAAGTTATGACATAGCCTTATCAAAATAGTGACAACTATAATTATGATTGATAGAAATAAAAATCTAACTTGATATGCATTTCAGCTTTTAATACAAAAGCAAATAAATTCCTGTAAGTGGTATAAATGAAAGTGAGGAAACATGCGTTATGCCCTGCTGTTTGAAAGGTATCATTTGCACTACATAGAAAAACATCGTTTCTATTACCTTGAACATTCAAAATCATTCAAAAAAGATTATCTCTGACTGTTGTAATTGACTAGGTATATGGAAAATGATGACAAATCTTTAGAAAAATATAATCTTTCTCTAGTTGAATTTAGTAAGGAAAGAGTAGATTATACTGCAGATTTCTCATTACTGAAAATATGAAAAAATAAAAATTCCGTTTAAGTGTGGAAGATTTTTTGTTTTGTTTTTGAGACAGAGTTTCGCTCTTGTTGCCCAGGCTAGAGTGCAATGGCATGATCTTGGCTCACTGCAACTTCTGCCTCCCAGGTTCAAGCAGTTCTCCTACCTCAGCCTCCCAAGTAGCTGAGATTACAGGCATGCGCCACCATGTCCAGCTAATTTTGTATTTTTAGTAGAGACGAGGTTTCACCATGTTGGCCAGGCTGGTCTCGAACTCCTGATCTCAGGTGATCCACCTGCCTCGGCCTCCCAAAGTGCTGGGATTACAGGCGTGAGCCACTGCACCCAGCCAGTGTGGAAGATTTCAAATTGGTAGTTATGCAGTTTCATTTGCTCCTGTAACCTTAACTTACGTACACCATAGTTATCATAGTTCTGTGGTCTGGAATATTGCTTCCATGGGGGTATAGTTTTTTTACACAAAAGCATATGTAGTATTTACTACTTTTAGTAAGTTTTGGCCCTTAAGCTAAATCTGTTTATAGACTTGATGAAACTGGGGATTTAACAAATCTATTTAAGTTTAGATACTGTAATGAAGGTATTTGGTGAGAACCTGTTGGCAGATAAGATTGATTATGATGGATATTTTAATTTGAGATAAAGAAAAGTTCATTATATGGTCTTGCTTTTCTGATCTCATTAATAGTTACACATATACCTACCATTGGAAAGATGGAGAGTTGGTTAAAAGAGGAGGGTAAATTGTATTTTCCATTCTACAACGATAAGTAAAATTATAAAGACTTCCTTGATACACACTAGTTATTGTCTTGAATAAAAAAGTGTTTTAAAATATATAATAACCGAGCCCTCAGTAAATTTTAATAGCTTTTAATTCTGAGAAGTATCCAATATCCTGTAGCAAAATAATCAGAGGGTTCTGTTTTTCTTCTTCATTTGTACCATGAGGCAAGATAAACCACCTGGCTAGTATGACTGAATTAGTTAATTGTGGTAAGGCTGTTGTGTTTGTTGCCTTAGCTTTTTGTGGTTGATGCCTTTCTTAGCTTACTTTATTTGGGGAATACCCCTTTCTACAGTAGTATCTAGTGTCTCTGGATTATCTTTAGCTCTTACTTCTAATGCAAAACGGATTGTGGTATTTAAGGAAATAAGCAGGGAGCTTTATCCATAGTTCCGTATGATACGATTTTCGGAGAGTCTGTCACTTATTTTTGAATATTACTTTGAAGTATTAGTTAATAAATATTCTGGAATATTGTAAAAATAGGATAAAAGATGTTTTCTTGGTATCTTTAAATGCACTTTTATTCAGGTTGTTTAAATGGTTTTTAGTTTAAAGAAGCAACAAGGGTGTCTTCAGGGCACAATTTCTTTTAAGAGAAATATGAACTCTTGTATTATTATCAGTTTATTAACCCATTGTCAGGTAATGAAGTAATTCATATCAGTCAGATATTTTAGGTAATTAAAACCAATACCATTAAAGCAAAACAAGTTTGGTTGGAAATCATTTAAAAGTATACACAGTCATCCTCTTTATGTTTAGGTTCTGAAATGGTGTTTGTTAATGCCCTTGTGCATAAGTCCAGAGTGGCACATTGTACAAGGGATGGCTAATTTTATCTGTTGGTGACAGGCAGAGTCAATGTGGTTTTGCTTGATTTGCATCTGTGAAAACTTTTAAGTTTGTAGTTAGAAAGATTATAAATAGAAGAGCGTGTTGTCTGACATACTGGAGGCTATCATACATGATTTAACTTTTTAAGTGACTGTGATGTATTCCCTAGGTTGGAGTAGCTTCCTAATTACAAATTATAATATCCTTTGGTAAGTCTTCTGTAAGACTCTGAGAGCATTTCCTACTGTTAACTACCTCATTCTTCCCTGTTAGGCTATTTTCTCTGGTTCTTTTATGCTCCAGTAGTTCCATCTGTCTGTCCGTCTGTCTTTCCCTCTGTATCTGACTGTTTTCTCTTGCTTTTTCACGGGGTGGAAAAGGGAAAAATATCTACATTTAAGGGACAGAAGACCGTAAGGAGATAAATGTGGATACTCTCTAATGTACTATCTTAGAGCTTTTCTCCCGTCCTATTGCATCTTGATAGCCAGTCATTTTAATTCATAACCACTATTCAATTTCACTTTTGCATCTCTATAGATTGGAGTAGCTAGGAGCCTGTTAGTGCTTTTATTAGTGCCTTGGGCAGTGTTACTTTCTTGATGCATTAGTCCTGGGTGTAAAAGGTAGTCAAACACGATTTCCAAATTTCCCATGCTAATTGGTAGAAGGTGTCTCATCTTCTGACAGCTATTTTCCCATTGACTGGAGCAAGGCATGTACTAGTGAAATTGAAGTAGATCTGTGACTGCACAGAAATTCTTTTCTCTCAAATAGTCTTCCCTTTCAGTTCTCAGTCACCTAGGTTTGAAGTCTTACACTTTTTGACTCATTGTACTTTCAACCCTTCTCATGGCTTTTTATTTTTTGCTGTAGCTGATATCAACCCCCCTATCTGGCTTTCAGTGGTCTATTTTATATACACCTTGCTTTTTTCCTTTAATAATGTATTTTGGAGGTCTTTCCATTAGTACATAGAGAATGTCCTTATTTTTATTTTCATAGTGGCATAGAATTCCATTGTATTGATGCATTGTAATTTATCCACTATCTAGTTGATGAATATTCAGGTTGTTTCCAATCTTTTGCTATTACAAATAATATTACAGTGAATAGCATTATATGTTCATCATCTTTGTTCACCTTTTTTTTTATTGGGATGTTGTCTTTTCCTTACCCATTTCCAGAGCTTTTTATAATTTAGGGAAATTCTTTTTATGTTTTCTCAGTTTCTTTTCTCTTTCTTTTGTTTATTCATTCTTTCTATTATTTGTTATGTGGTTTTGTGTAGTAAGTGTGCTTGTGTTTGTGGTTTCATCAATCTTTTATGGCTTTGGGTTATGATTCATAATTAGAAATTCCTTCTCCATTCCAAGATTTGAAAGTAATTCTCATGTATTTTCTTTGGCTACTTTTGTGGTTTCATTGGAAATATGTAAATCTTTATATTTATTTGAAATATATTCTCATGAGGATTTAGAGCATGCTTTTTAATATACAGTTAACCCCTTGAACAATATAGGTTTGAACTGCATGGATCTACTTATACGTGGATTTTTTTTTTTTTTCCTACAGTAGGCCCTCCATATCTGGCAAGTTTCACGTCCACAGCCAAATGCAGATCTAAAATACTGTATTCATAGAATGCGAAGCCTGAGGATGTGGAGGACCAATTTTTTGTATCTATGGGTTCCACAGGGCTAATTGTGGGTCCTGAGCATGCATGGATTTTGGTGGAGTGTCCTGGTACCAATCTCCTGTAGGTACCCATGGACGACTGTATATGTTTTTTCAGGTGGCTGCCTGTTGTTCCAAACCAGTTTATTGAAGTGCCTGTCTTTTCTCTCTGACTTGAGGTGTATAGCATGTCTTTATTTGGGGTTATTAGTGGACTTTATCTTCAGTTCCTTTTTTCTGCATATATATATATATATATTATTTTTTATATTTCACTCTAAGTTCTGGGATACATGTGCTGAATGTGCAGGTTTGTTACATAGGTATACATGTGCCATGGTGGTTTTCTGCTTATATTTTAGAATGGGCTTTTTTGGTTTAAAAAAACATTTTGGTATTTTATTCATTACATTGCATGTATATTTTAACTGAGGGAGGCTTGACTGCTCTATGATGTTTCCTGTTCATGAAGGTGGTGTATATTTCTACAAGCTCAAGTGTCCTTTTATGTCCTTTGGGATAATTTAAAAGTTTTTTTGCTTTTTTACATTTTTTTGTTTATTCCTAGATATTTGGTTCCTTTTTTGTTGCATTACAAATAGGCTTTTTTCCTCTTCTATTATATACTCTAGTTGTTTTGTGTGTGTGTATGTTATTAATTTTGTATATTAATCTTATACTCTGATACACAGTCTCTAACTGTTTGTGGTGTTATTTTAGTTAATTTGTTTTTGGTTGTCATGTATGCAGTTATGTGATTTGCAGTGAGTGGCAATTTTATCTCCTCCTTTCTCATTTTTATACCTACAACGTTTTTCCTAATTGCTTTGTCTTGTACTTCCAAAAATGTTAAATGAATGTTAAATAATGGTGTTCTTAATGACATTCCTGTCTTGTTCTAAATTTAGTAATAATGCCTTTAGTATTTCCCCAATAGACGTGATTATGGCTTTGGGCTGAGACAGATGTATATTTTTTCTGTTAAGTGACTAGCATTTTAAATCAGGAATGCTGTTGGACTTTGTCAAATACCTTTTTAGCATCTATTGAGATGATTATATCAGATTTAACATTAATAAATCTCACTTAGGTCATTTTTATTAATATTTATGGTTTTTTTTTTACTTGATCTGTCATTGAAATGAGAGAAGTAAATTAAAATTTATGTTACAGATTCATTTCTCTTTCTACTTGTATCTCCCATAATTTCTGCTTTACAGATGTTGCTGCTGTGCTATTTCGCATATAGATGTTTACAACTATTACACTGTCATTGTAAATTGTGCTGTTAGCTTTTGAAAGAGCCCTTTTCTTTTTGTCTTATTAAATGCTTTTTGGCCCCATTCCACTTTGTTTAGTAACTAAAGATGGGTATCCCCCAGCTTTTCCATTATTTGCATTTGCTAGTATTATTTTATTTATTTTTTAATTTCCAACCTGTTGGAATTACTATCTTTTATAGGTATATCTCTTGTTTTCAGAATAGAGTTGGGTTTTACTCTGTGACCTACTATGAAAACTTTTAATAGATCAGTTAAACCTTTTATAATTACTGATATAAATTCTTTTATAATTACTGATATAGATGTATTTAGTCTTGATTTTCATATTTTTTTTTCAGTTTTTCTAAATATATTTTACTATGCAATCTAGGTTTTTTGTTTATTTTGAAAAGTAGTTCTTTTCATATATAGGAAGCTTTTTTTCTTATATTGGTAATCACTATAATTAAATCTTATATTCCTCAATGTGTGTCATTCTACATACTGGCAGGATACTCATCTTTATTAAGATGCTGTATTATGTTAGTTTCCTGTACCCACGTTTGCAAGGCAGCTCATTGGAGGATCAACTCCATAGCTCTTTACAGTCTTGCCCCAACCTAACCTTCCATCTTTATCTTCCAATGAGGCACTACATGAACTTCCATAGCCAGGATTCACTACTCTCTTCATCCATAGAAACTACTCGTTGATCCAACCCATGCAGTGCTCCCTGCCTTTTTTTGGCCCTGTCTGTAAATTTTCTCTGTAATGCTTTCTATTAGCCTTACAGTATATGCATCATACATATTATGTACTTTTTATACTAGATCATTAAAATCTCCCTAAGTGAATTGTAGGCCCTTGCAGGACAGAATGTATCTTGAATTTCCTTCAGGCCTTAGCTGGTGCAGTGCTTTCATCTTCATAGGTTCTCATCTGAGGACTGCCATGAGCTTGTGGAAGAGTAGGTAGATATGTTCTTGATGAGCTGTATATGATAGAATTTTCATCAATTTGTAGAAGAGAAAGGTGAGCAGATGTTCAGTCCTAAAGGTGAGCAGATGTTCAGTCCTGTAAGGAAAACCTTCTAGCGGCATTACTTTACAATGGATTGGGTTTTCCTGTAAGCTCTCTGTCATAGCAAGCGTTCAATTGTAGGGTAAATGGCCATTCTGCCGGGGATGCTGTTAAGGAGAAAGAGAATTGAAAGGGAAAGAGTATTCTAAAAGTAGGTAAACTAGGGCTCGCTTCATCTTTGTAATTCTGAATACCTATGATTTTGACCTAAATAAAGCAGAAACCATAGAGGATTTATTTATTTAATATGGGGATTGATGAATTGACAAGGATAATATGATAGGAAATTAAACAATAATACACTTACTTTATATATAACTGAATAATCTTTGAAGTTTATGATTCTGTTTTTTTTTTTTTTGTTTTTTTTAAAGACAGCACTCACTCTGTCACCCAGGCTAGAGTGCAGTGCTGCAGTCATAGTACAATGTAACCTAGAACTCCTGGGCTCCAATGATTTTCCTGCCTCAGCCTCCCAAGAAGCTAGGACTACAGGCATACACCACTATGCCCAGTTAATTTTTTATGTTTACAGTGAGAGAGGGGTCTTGCTGTGCTGACTAGGCTGGTCTCTAACTCCTGGCCTCAAGATCCTCCTGCCTCTGCAGTGCTGGGATTATAGGCATGAGCCACTGCTCCTGGCCTGATTCTATTTTCCAGTGCTCTTTTTACATCTCATGATATAAACAAAATTAAAAATTATAATATATATTTTTATGGCTTTCATGTTTGATCATTTCTTAGACTACTGAAAGAGTCCTGTTAAGAAGAGGGTCAGCC
Source organism: Homo sapiens (assembly GCF_000001405.40). NCBI lineage: Eukaryota > Metazoa > Chordata > Mammalia > Primates > Hominidae > Homo > Homo sapiens. The sequence goes on along the minus strand of NC_000009.12, from coordinate 100,079,524 downwards.
AGGCGTGGTGGCAGTGAACAATATGTTTGTATTAGGGTTCTCTAGAAAAGCAGAACTAATAGGGTGTCTGTGTGTGTGTGTGTGTGTGTGTGTGTGTGTGTGTGTGTGTGTAAAGGGGAGTTTATTAAGGAGCATTAACTCACACAATCACAGGGTTCCACAATAGGCTGTCTGCAAGCTGAGGAGCAAGGAGAGCCAGTCTGAGTGCGAAAGCTGAAGTACTTGGAGTCTGATGTTTGAGGACAGGAAGCATCCAGCACTGGAGAAGGATGTAGGCTGGGAAGCTAAACCAGTCTAGCTTTTTCACATTTTTCTGCCTGCTTTATGTCCTGGCCATGCTGGCAGCTGATTAAATAGTGCCCACCCAGATTAGGGGTGGGTCTGCCTTTCCCAGCCCACTGACTCAGATGTTAATCTCCTTTGGCAACACCATCACAGACATACCCAAGATTAATACTTTGCATCCTTCAAGCCAATCAAGTTGACACTCAGTGTTAACCATCACAAGTCCACCCCTTATCAACTTGAACCCATATATATCTCCTGAGATCATACATAATCTTTAAATAAAGGCAATGATAAAGTCATAATTATGCCTAACATAATACAACTATCCTTCGCACAACCTGAAAGGCACCAATCCCCAACCCAAATACTACTACATAAAGTTAACATACTTAAATGCTGATATGAAGTCAATAAATCTCATGTCACGTGATAAATAAAATGAAGATATTTTTCTTTACTTTTTTTTTTCTTTTTTTGTTTTTTGAGATGAAGTCTTGCTCGTCACCCAGGCTGGAGTGCAATGGCATGATCTTGGCTCACTGCAGCCTCCGCTTCCTGGGTTCAAAGGATTCTCCTGCCTCAGCCTCCCAAGTAGCTGGGATCACAGGTGCCTGCTACCACGCCCAGCTAATTTTTGTATTTTTAGTAGAGACAGGGTTTCCCTATGTTGGCCAGGCTGGTCTTGAACTCCCAGCCTCAGGCAATCCACCTGCCACTGCCTCCCAAAGTGCTGGGATTACAGGCATGAGCCGCTGCACCCGGACTTTTTTTTTTTTTTTTTGATAGAGTCTTGCTCTGTCACCCAGGCTGGAGTGCAGAGGCGCAATCTCAGTTCACTGCAACCTCCACCTCCCAGGTTTGAGTCATTCTCCTGCCTCACCCTCCTGAGTAGCTGGGATTACAGTTGCCCACCACCACGCCTGGCTAATTTTTGTATTTTTGGTAGAGAGAGAGTTTCACCACGTTGGCCAGGCTGGTCTTGAACTCCTGACTTCAGATGATCTGCCCTCCTCAGCCTCCCAAAGTACTGGAATTACAGGCATGAGCCACCGCACCTGGCCTGAAGATATTTTCTTAGTACAAGTGTATACATACATGCACAAACGTTTTTAACAAAAGGAGGAAATACTCATGACAGTTACAGTCCTCATTTCTGCAGCTGGCCACATGGTCGTAACTGGTATTGATGACTGCCTTGTTCTACCCATTCTGTATTTCCTTTGCTTTCAGCAAGCACCTCAGCAGGTTGTGGTTTTTTTTCCTGGTGGTTGTGTTTTTTTTCCTGGTGGAGTGACCCAAACCTTCATTCCTGAAGTGTCTGGGCCATTTGTAGTTCTGCCTGGATTGGGCTGTTGTGGTTAATCACAAGGCATAGTAATACTAAGAGACACCCTAACAGATCTCCTGTATTCCATGTATACTCTTCCTTACCTCTGTTATGGAGTAGTAGACTGATTGCATCTTCATAGTCTGGGTCAGTCACCCCAGCCAACACTGTACCTCCCTTCTTAGCCTGTTGGCTTAAAGATAGGAGGAGTTCAAAGTGTCCAGCTGGCAACCTGAACTTCCAGTTTAATGGAATTGTTGTTGTGTCATTCCTCCCTCTGGAACTAAGACATCTAGGCCAGCAGAACGTAATGTTGTGGGAACACAAAGCAAAAATTTTGCTAGTGGATCACTAGGGGTGATGGTGAGTGGTGCCACTTCCACCCCTTGATTACTGGATCCATGAATCCTGGCTATGGGAGAAATAGTACCATATATTGGATGTTGATTCAGAGCATACATGGCCTTCTGGAGAACTTTGCCCGAGCCCTGCAAAGTATTGTCACCTAGTTGGCGTTGTAATTGTGACTTCAAAAGGCGATTCCATCGTTCTGTCAATCCAGCTGCTTCAGGATGATGGAGAACATGGTAACACCAATGAATTTCATGAGCATGAGTCCACTGCCACACTTCTTTAGTTGTAAAGTGAGCGTCTTTGTCAGAGGCAATGCTGTGTGGAATACCCTGACAGTGGATAAGGCATGCCTCGAGTCCACGGATGGTAGTCTTGGCAGAAGCATTGTGTGCAGGTTAGGCAAACCCATATCTGGAGTAAGTGTCTATTCCAGTGAGGACAAACCTCTGCCCTTTCCATGATAGAAGAGGTCCAGTATAATCAACCTGCCACCAGGTAGCTGGCTGATCACCCTGAGGAAAGGTGCCTTATTGAGGGCTCAGTGTTGGTCTCTGCTGCTGGCAAACTGGGCACTCAGCAGTGGCCAAAGCCAGGTCAGCCTTGGTGAGTGGAAGTCCATGTTGCTGAGCCCATGGGTAACCTCCATCCCTGCCACCATGGCCACTTTGTTCATGGGGCCCATTGGGCGATGACAGGGGTGGCTGGGGAAGGAGGCTTAGTGGTGTCCACAGAATGGATCATCCTATCCACTTGGTTATTAAAATCCTCCTCTGCCGAAGTCACCCGTTGGTGAGCACTCACATGGGATACAAATATCTTCACAATTTTTGACCACTCAAAGAAGTTCATCCACATACCTCTTCCCCCAATTTCTTTGTCACCAATTTTCCAAGTCACTGACCATCCCCATTGGCTACAGCCCATGAATCAGTATATAATCACATATCTAGCCATTTCTCCTTCCATGCAAAGTGCACAGCCAGGTACACTGCTTGAAGTTTTGCCCACTGGGAAGATTTCCCTTCTCCGCTGTCCTTTACGGATATCCTAGAAAGGGGCTATGGTGCTGCAGCTGTCCACTTTTGGGTGGTGCCTGCATATCATGCAGAACCATCTGTGAACCAGGCCCTAGTCTTCTCTTCCTCTGTCAGCTGATCATAGGGAACTCCCCATGAGGCCATTGGTGCAGGTTGGGGAAGAGAAGGCAGGGTGGCAGGAGTGGAGACCATGGGCATTTGAGCCACTTCCTCATGTAACTTATTTGTGCCTTCAGGACCTGCTTGAGCCCGATCGTGTATGTATCACTTCCATTTGCTGATGGAATGCTGCTGTGCATGACCCACTTTATGGCTAGATGGGTCAGAAAGCACCCAGTTCATGATAGGCAGTTCTGGTCTCATGGTGACTTGAAGACCTATAGTCAAACATTCAGTTTACACCAAAGCTCACTAACAGGCCAAGAGCTGTCTCTCAAAAGGAGAGTAGTTATCTGCAGAAGATGGCAGGGCCTTGCTCCAAAATCCTAGAGGCCTCCACTGTGATTCACCTATAGGGGCCTGACAAAGGCTGCAGACAGCATCCCTATCTGCCACTGAGACCTCAAGCACCATTGGATCTGCTGGGTTATATGGCCCAAGTGGCAGAACAGCTTGCACAGCAGCCTGGACCTGTTGCAGAGCCGTCTTCTGTTCTTGACTCCACTCAAAACTCGCAACCTTTTGAGTCACTCGATAAATGGGCTGGAGTAATACACCCAAAAGAGGAATATGTTGCCTCCAAAATCCAAATAGGCCCACTAGGTGTTGTGCCTGTTTCTTGGTTGTAGGAGGGGCCAAATGCAGCAACTTATCCTTTACCTTAGAAGGAATATCTCGACAGGCCCCACACCACTGAAACCCTAGAAATTTTACTGAGTTAGAACGTCCCTAAATTTAAGTCAGATTTATTTCTCATCCTCTGGCATGCAGATGTCTCACCAAGAAGTCCCGTGTGTCTGCTACTTCTTGCTCTCTGGATCCAGTTAACATAATGTCATCAATGTGATGGACCAGTGTGATATCTTGTGGAAGTGAAAAGCAATCAGGGTCTCTCCGAATAAGATTATGACACAGAGCTGGAGAGTTGATATCCCCCCAAGGTAGGACAGTAAAGGTATATTGCTGGCCTTGCCAGCTGAAGGCAAATAGCTTCTGGTGGGCCTTATGGAAAGGAATGGAGAAAAAAGCATTTGTCAAATCAATGGCTGCATACCGGGTACCGGGAGATGTGTTAATTTGTTCAAGTAATGAAACCACATCTGGTACAGCTGCTGCAGTTGGAGTTACCACTTGGTTAAGCTTACGATAATCCTCTGTCATTCTCCAAGATCCATCTATCTTCTGCACAGGCCAGATAGGAGAGTAGAATGGGGATGTGCTGGGAATCACCACCCTTGCGTCTTTCAAGTCCTTGATGGTGACACTAATCTCTGCAGTCCCTCCAAGGATGCGATATTGTTTTTGACTTACCATTTTTCTAGGTAGAGGCAGCTCTAATGGCTTCCATTTGGCTTTTCCCACCATCATCGCCCTCACCCTACCAGTCAGGGAGCCAATGTGGGGGTTCTGCCAGCTGCTAAGTGTGTCTCTGCCAATTAGGCATTCTGGCACCTGGAAAATGACCACAGGATGAGTCCGGGGACCCACTGGACCCTCTGTAAGTCAGACCTGAGCTAAAAGTCCATTAACTACCTGACCTCCATAAGCCCCTACTTTAACTGGAGGACCACGATGACATTTTGGGTCCCCTGGAATCAACATCAGCTCAGATCCAGTGTCCAGTAGTCCCCAAAATGTCTGATTATTTCCCTTTCTCCAATGCACAGTTACCCTGGTAAAAGGCCAGAGGTCTCCTTGGGGAAGGATGGGACAAAGATTCACTGCATAAATTGTTGGTAGTGTAGTGGGGTCCTTCCTCAAGGGGACTCAGCCTCCCCTTCATTCAAGGGGTTCTGGGTCTATAAACTGGCTCAAGTCTGGAAATTGATCGAGGGGCCATGATTCTCGGTTTATAATTCAAATTAGTCTTTTGTCCATTCGACCTACAAGTTTTTTCCTTATATAAATTAAGTAGGAATGCAGTAGGCTTCCTATCAATTTCACTCCTAGGAACACCGTGATTAATTAGCCAATGCTAGAGCTCTACATGAGTCAGAATATTCTGAATAGTGTTATTCAGTGTGATAACCCAGCAGTCTTGAACGTTTTTGGCACCAGGCAGTGGTTTTGTGGAAGACTGACGGGGGTGGGGAGGATAGTTTCAGGATGAAACTGCGGACTAGTACTGGTCTGTAGCCTTGGGTTTGGGGACTCCTGTGATAACCCACTTTGGACATTTGGCTCTAGCGAAATTTACCTTTTCAGAAAGATTAATCCCCAAAAGTCTTAGCTTTGTAATGATGGAGTGTGTTGAAAAGCATGGATCATGGCTTTTTAAGGGATTTCCAAAGGAGATTTTCTCTCCAAAATATTTTGAGCAGTATTGTTTGAATAAGTGTATAATAGTCTTTAGAGCAGTATTTTTGGAACTGCAAACTGGGATACATTAATTTGTTGTATTGGGCTTACATTCAACATTAATTAAAAGGATAGGAATAGAAAATACTACTGTGCATTGAATGTAGTAAGGATAGGTAGTTTTGAGAAACTTTTATTTGTGTTTCTGTTTCCTGGACTGCAGTGTAAAGTGTATTTCTTGCTGTGGATCATGGTCATAAAAAGTTTGAAAAGCCTCTGCTGTTAGATGATAACACACATTTGGATATTAACTTCTTAGAGGTTAGTATATGTAGTCTCACCTATGTAGAATGTAATTGAAAATTTCTGTTGCTGTGTATTTGTCAAAAATGTGAGAATGATTTCTTGTGAAACAGTTTTTAGTCCAGTAATGATTTTAATGTTTATCTTCAATGGAAGACAAATTCCACTGAAAGAAGGCGTCTCCACATCTCTGCTGAATCTTAGAACATCAGAATCAAAAGCAGCCTTAGATTATTAGTTCAGCTTATTTATGGACAAATAGAACTCTGAGGTCAGGAGGTAGAGAAATGCATGCCTAAGGTTACATTGTGAGTGGTAGAGCTGGTACCAAAACCTAGGTCTCTTGACTCCCAACTCATAGACTGCAGAAGGTCAATTGTAGTTTAATCATAATCTCAACTAATTCTATGTAACAGTTATAAAAGCAAGCTTTTATGAGAGTTCATATTCAGAAGAAAACAATGACCAATTGTTTAGTTTTTTTAAAAAAAACTTGATCATGCATTACTTTTAAAATTCTCTTTGGCTATAGAATGTGAAATTCTTAATTTGAATTATGTAAGCTTATACTCTCTTTGAAACCGTACTTGGGAAGTTTTGAGTTTGTTACAGGGTACTTATTTTTAAATCATCTGCCTCTTGACTGAAATGAACTGTTACCAGATCCAAATCACCACTTAAAATTGCTTGAAATGTTTGTCAACTGCTTCATTAAAGCCCAAAGGCAGCATATATTCAGTGGGCAATTTTGAAGAGTCAGCATGAAGTTCAAACATTAGGAAATTAAGGACATCCTATACCTCATTATTTTAATTAATACATGTTATAAAAATCTAAAATTCAGAAGGATTCAACGTTTGAAGGTTGTGGATGACTCAGGGACTTGGAAGATTGCCCTTCTTACCTCTAAGGTTGATTGACTGCCTCAAAACTCCAGAAGATAGAGAGTTAGAGAACTTTTTGTAATCCCAGCACTTCGAGAGGCAGAGTGGGCAGATCACCTGAGGTCAGGAGTTTGAGACCAGCCTGGCCAACATGGTGAAACCTCGTCTCTACTAAAAACAAAAAATTAGCCAGACGTGGTGGCGCACACTTGTAATCCCAGCTACTCAGGAGGCTGAGGCAGGAGAATCGCTTGAACCAGGGAGGCGAAGGTTGCAGTGAGCCAAGATCGCTCCATTGCACTCCAGCTTGGACAACAAGAGCAAAACTCTATCTCAAAAGAAGAAAAGAGAGAGTTAGAGAACTTTTTTGTTTTTTAGTTCTGTTTTTTAGAAAAATGAGTTCTCTTCCTTTGTCCCTGCTTGTTGGTCTTTTCTCTCTACCTCCCAAATGGTTTTGAGGATTAAAGTAAACAGTATATTCCTAATTGTGCCAATGCTTACTTCTTCTTTCTGTACCTCCATCTCACAGCAAGTACAAAAGTGAGGACAGACATGAGCAAAGGAGATAGATTCCTAAATTCAGATTTCCTTTTAACACACCAAGGTCATTCTCTGATTAGCTTTTTGGTAAAAGTGCTTAGAAAGCTGAACTACTATGTGGTAGTAATGAAGATCAACCTTAGTGACCCTTAATATATAAGAAAGCTTTGAGACTGTCACTGGGAGTATTTTAGACTAAATGAAAGATAAATCTGTTTGCTTTACAAAGCTAATTCAAACAGTATGTGTGGCAGATGGGACAGCATTAAAGATTCTTCTAATGATCATTAATTAGGATAGGCACCTCAAGAAGTATATGGCCTCTCAAGGACTACTTCTGATTGATATTTAGAATTAATTTGGTTAGAAGTAACAATGTAATTTTTAAAACACAGAGGTTTATTTTTTTTCTGGAGACAGAGTTTCACTCTTGTTGCCCAGGCTAGAGTGCAATGGCGTGATCTCAGCTCACAGCAACTTCCACCTCCCGGGTTAAAGTGATTCTCCTGCTTCAGCATCCCAAGTAGCTGGGATTACAGGCATCCGCAACCACGCCCAGCTAATTTTTTGTATTTTTAGTAGAGACAGGGTTTCACCATGTTGGCCAGGTTGCTCTCAAACTCCTGACCTCATGTGATCCCCCTGCCTCAGCCTCCCAAAGTGCTGGGATTACAGGCGTGAGCTACTGTGCCTGGCCAAAAAATACAGATCTTTAAAGTCAGTAGTGGATTAATACTTTGGATATATATAGTAATGGAATCATTAGGGGATTTGGTAATAAAAACATTTTTACCCAAGAATACGTACAGTACTCTACTTAAGAATAAGAAACTAGGAAGTCTGAGAGTGATTCTGGAACTAAGTGACTGTGGAAAATAAGTAAGCCAAGGTTTCACTGAAGACAGTTTTTCCTTAAAGGCCATTTACTCACCCAAAAACAGTCAGGGCCACATGTTTAGTAATGAAATAAAGGCATTCTTTGACACATAGGAGATATTTTCCTCATACTTTGGAGTGTAGAAATGTGTGTGCCAATAGCAACAGCTAGTAAAAGGGCTAAAGAATGTTATATGTTTGCTGGATGTGGTGGCACATGCCTGTAGTCCCAGCTACTTGGGAGGCTGAGGTGGGAGGATTGCTAGAGCCCAGGAGGTGGAGGTCGCAGTGAGCCGAGATCATGCCACTGCACTCCAGCCTAGGTGACAGAACAAGACCTTGTCTCAAAAAAAAAAAAAAAAAAACCTTATATAATTTAGGAGATACTACAATCTGTTGAGTATAAACTTTGAAAAATTGTGTAAAAGTCAAGTGAAAACATTGGTATTTCCAAAGTTTAGTATACCAATACTATAGCTCACCTGCTATAGTATATTGCCTGAGTTTCTGAGTTTCTGTCCCTGTCTCACTTCTCTGTTCCTCCTTTATCTCCCAAATACTTGACTCCTTGTGCTTAACTCCTTGTCTCAGAGTCTACTTCTGGGGGGAGGCCAAATGAAGATAGGCTATCATTGTTTTCTGTAAAATTTCCTGTCATCCGATATGGCAGCTTGCATCCTCATGGTGTCATTTTACAAGATGTTCCTCTATAGCCAATGTTTCTTATACACTAGTTTCTTGGGCTTGATTAAATTGAGATCATGTTCAAATTGGTTGTTGTTAAGAATATTTACAAGTGGTGCTTTCTGTTTCGTATTGCATCCCATCAAGAAGCAGAATACTTGGTTGTTCCACTTTTAGTGATGTTAAAAGATTGTTCAGTAACAGTGTGGATACATTCATTCTGCACTAAAATTAATTCAAAGCTTCATGAAAACCCAGGCAAAAACAGAGTACTGACATACAAGTAATCTCATGGTTTAATGCCCAGCAGTTATCTTCTTTAGAGAATATATAATGACTTTGCAGGAATTATGGATGACTTTTAAATTAAAATATTTGAATGAGAGAACCTTCTTTCTCTCTTTTATTTTTAATGTGAAAATGAAGTTTGTAAGATTAATGTAACCATGTACAAATTATGTTTTTCACAGTGTCTAGCATGTTGACACTGTGATGACTCAGTGAAATATTTGTGGAAGGAGTGAGTGAACAAAAGATGTATGTACCAACATGTATGTAGATTCTCTTAAGGTAACTTTCTCTCATCAAGTTTCCTGGGTAAGAATTACAGTGCAGCACAAAGTAGAATGGTCACAATTCTCATCTTGACTTTTCTTCCAATTCCCATGCTTTGTTAGTACTGCCATTGCTAGAAGTTTGAGTTTTAGAAGAGCAAAATGTGGTGATTTTAAGAGAATAATTTTTTTCCGCACATTGAGAAGTTCACCCCCAGCTCTGAAAAACTTTTTATAACAAAAATATACTCTTTGAAGGTCAGAGAAAAATACATTGTCTGTTCCAGGTAAATTAGTTAATCTCATTTTTAAATACGCTGAAGAACGAAACACAGATAACATCAGTTTTTAATGGAAATTCATGCATGATCAAATAACTAAAATTCAAGAAAAAGTATGAATTGCAACAAATTTTGTTTCTTTTTATTTGTCCATGATTGTTTTTACTGGCAGAATTTGAGATTAAGGATTTGTATTATCTATATTTGAACTTTTTGGAGGTATGGAATTTGTTTTCTCAAGCATTTCTGCACCATATTTTGACTTATTTAACGAAGAAATCTTATAATTTTTTTTTTATTTGAACTGGGTAATTCATACTATTAGAAATAAATATATCTATTTTGAGATGGAGTCTCACTCTGTCACCCAGGCTGGAGTGCACTGGCTCAATCTCAGCTCACTGCAACCTCCATTTCCTGGGTTCAAGTGATTTTCCTGCCTCAGCTTTCCAAGTAGGGAGAGACAGCCTTAGTAAATATCTTTGTACCTATATAATTATTAATGTCTGAAAGTAGTTTTGTAGAGTATTCTAAGAAATGGATTTGCACAGTAAGTAGAGCAGGCACTTACAAATATATATACAGTACATATAAATGCTTCTTTTCTTTTTTCTTTTTTTTGGTTGGTTTGGTTTTTTTCTTTTTTTTTTTTATTGATCATTCTTGGGTGTTTCTCGCAGAGGGGGATTTGGCAGGGTCATAGGACAATAATGGAGGGAGGGTCAGCAGATAAACAAGTGAACAAAGGTCTCTGGTTTTCCTAGGCAGAGGACCCTGCGGCCTTCCGCAGTGTTTGTGTCCCTGGGTACATGAGATTAGGGAGTGGTGATGACTCTTAAGGAGCATGCTGCCTTCAAGCATCTGTTTAACAAAGCACATCTTGCACCGCCCTTAATCCATTTAACCCTGAGTGGACACAGCACATGTTTCAGAGAGCACAGGGTTGGGGGTAAGGTCACAGATCCACAGGATCCCACGGCAGAAGAATTTTTCTTAGTACAGAACAAAATGAAAAGACTCCCATGTCTACTTCTTTCTACACAGACACGGCAACCATCCGTTTTCTCAATCTTTTCCCCACCTTTCCCCCCTTTCCATTCCACAAAAACGCCATTGTCATCATGGCCCGTTCTCAGTGAGCTGTTGGGTACACCTCCCAGACGGGGCGGCTGGCCGGGCAGAGGGGCTCCTCACTTCCCAGTAGGGGCGGCCGGGCAGAGGCGCCCCTCACCTCCCGGACGGGGCGGCTGGCCGGGTGGGGGGTTGACTCCCCCACCTCCCTCCCGGACGGGGCGGCTGGCCGGGTGGGGGGCTGACCCCCCCACCTCCCTCCCGGACGGGGCAGCCGGCCGGGCTGGGGGCTGACCCCCCCACCTCCCTCCCCGACGGGGCGGCTGGCCGGGCGGGGGGCTGAACCCCCACCTCCCTCCCGGACGGGGCGGCTGGCCGGGCAGAGGGGCTCCTCACTTCCCAGTAGGGGCGGCCGGGCAGAGGCACCTCTCACCTCCCGGACGGGGCGGCTGGCCCGGCGGCTGGCCGGGCAGGGGGCTGACCCCCCCACCTCCCTCCCGGACGGGGCGGCTGGCCGGGCGGGGGGCTGACCCCCCCACCTCCCTCCCGGACGGGGCAGCTGGCCGGGTAGAGGGGCTCCTCACTTCCCAGTAGGGGCGGCTGGGCAGAGGCGCCCCTCACCTTCCGTACGGGGCGGCTGGCCGGGCGCAGGGCTGACCCCCCTACCTCCCTCCCGGACGGGGCTGCTGGCCGGGGAGAGGGGCTCCTCACTTCCCAGTTGGGGCGGCTGGGCAGAGGCGCCCCTCACCTCCTGGATGGGGCAGCTGGCCGGGCGGGGGGCTGACTCCCCCACCTCCCTCCCGGATGGGGCGGCTGGCCGGGCGGGGGACTGACCCCCCCACCTCCCTCCCGGACGGGGCGGCTGGCCTGGCGGGGGCTGACCCCCACCTCCCTCCCGGACGGGGTGGCTGCCGGGCGGAGACGCTCCTCACTTCCCAGACGGGGTGGTTGCCGGGCGGAGGGGCTCCTCACTTCTCAGGCGGGGCGGCTGCCGGGCGGAGGGGCTCCTCACTTCTCAGACGGGGCGGCCAGGCAGAGACGCTCCCCACATCTCAGACGATGGGCGGCTGGGCAGAGACGCTCCTCACTTCCCAGATGGGATGGCGGCCGGGAAGAGGCGCTCCTCACTTCCTAGATGGGATGGCGGCCGGGCAGAGACGCTCCTCACTTTCCAGACTGGGCAGCCAGGCAGAGGGGCTCCTCAACTCCCAGACGATGGGCGGCCAGGCAGAGACGCTCCTCACTTCCCAGACGGGGTGGCGGCCGGGCAGAGGCTGCAATCTCAGCACTTTGGGAGGCCAAGGCAGGCGGCTGGGAGGTGGAGGTTGTGGCGAGCCGAGATCACGCCACTGCACTCCAGCCTGGGCACCATTGAGCACTGAGTGAACCAGACTCCGTCTGCAATCCCGGCACCTCGGGAGGCCGAGGCTGGCGGATCACTCGCGGTTAGGAGCTGGAGACCAGCCCGGCCAACACAGCGAAACCCCGTCTCCACCAAAAAAATACGAAAACCAGTCAGGCGCGGCGGCGCGCGCCTGCAGTCGCAGGCACTGGGCAGGCTGAGGCAGGAGAATCAGGCAGGGAGGTTGCAGTGAGCCGAGATGGCAGCAGTACAGTCCAGCTTCCGCTCGGCATCAGAGGGAGACTGTGGAAAGAGAGGGAGAGGGAGACCGTGGGGAGAGGGAGAGGGAGAGGGAGAGCGAGAGGGAGAGCGAGAGCGAGAGCGGTTGTTTGGTTTTTTTAGAGACAGGCTCTCACTCTGTCCAGAAATCTTATAATTCTTCTAGTGTTTCTTTATAAATGCAGGTTGGTTCTCACATGACCAAGATGGGTTGCACTGATGCTATAGGAAGGTTGTACTACTGAACAATTTAAGGGTTAAAGTGGCTTCCCAGTGTTATTCTATACTTAGTCCTATTTTTCCCCTCTCTTTGAACTTCTAGTTCATTATAGTGCTTCTGGGAATGTGAATAGTGTGAGATGTGCCTTGATTGATACCCAACTTCAAGGCCCTTATAGTTCCTGTCAGCCTCAGCTTCTTTTCTCCAGGGACATTTCAACATCTCCTGCTCCTTGAAGCCAACTGGAAACCTTTATACTTCTCTTATCTGCGAGCTTAATGCGAAACTGAAAGCAAGAGTGGACTGATTGGAGTCAGGGAAGTGGTCCCCAGGGAGGAGAAGCAGCCTAGGTCTCAGGGCATTGGGACTTCAGATGGTAGGCTGACTTGTCAATCTAGATTAGAAATGGAAGATAACTGTTGCCTGGTACATTGCTTGTTTTTTGCTATAGGAGAGACATAGTTTGTAAAGAAAGGGCTCTGAGAATCTCCCAACAGAAAGGCAAGTCAATGAAAGATTTAGCAAAAATACACTAAGCTATTACAGCAGAATGCCTAGCAGATGTACTGCCAACTGAGAACAGTAATGCCACAGGGAAAGAAACATCCCTTATTGAAGCTTCTATTTTATGACAGTGATTTCATGCAGAAATATCTGTTTAAGCTGTTTTTTTGAGCAGAAGACAGTATACTTTAAAAAATTAACATCTATGTACATCTCTGATAGGTTACAGATTCATTCTACATTTTTCTAAAAGCACAGCAATTTGCATGTCAATGCATTGTCACAGATGAGTCTTACTTGTACTTGTGTTCATATTTGAGGATCAAAAACATTGTACAGAGTTTAAAATGAATTTACACGCTTGCTCCTAGAGTAAAAAAAATTGCTTTCCAAAACAGTATTCCTGAACTTTAGTGTGCATAGGAATCAACTGGGCATCTTACTGAAGTGGAGCTTCTCATTCAGTGGGTCTAGAGTGGGGCCTAGTATTCTCTATTTCTCACAAGCTCCTAGGTGATACCAGCGTGGCAGTTTCAGAGACCACACTTTAAATATCAAGGTTTTAAGATATTGAGCTTTAAATAAACAAACTCACTAGAAATACTTCTTGTTTTCTAAACTCATTTACTAAGATATTCTAAGAAAACACTTGACACCTAGCTAATGCGTCTATGAATTAGAAATCTTATTAACAGGAGTAATGTTTGATAACCTCTTTTACCTGATGTTTTATTAGCCTCTAGTCCTGAAAGTCTCAAATCATTTATTTTCATGACTGAATTAAAAACCTTAAATTATAGCACTGTACAAGAAGTGTTGAATTTTTATCCACTAATGTAATATAACTCTTCTTCTGTTTTGTGGTAATTTATGGATGATTTGCTTTATTCCACCATGCAGCTTTATTAGGGTATAATTGACAAAAATTGTGTATATTTATGATGTACAATGAGATATTTTGATATATGTATACATTGTTAAATGATTACATGAAGCTAATTACCATATCTGTCACCTCACATACTTATTTTTTTTTGTTGTGAGAATATTATAGACTCTCTTAGGAATTTTCAAGTATATAGTACAGTCACGCATGGCATGATGACGGGGATATGTTCTGAGAAATGTGTCATTAGGCAATTTTGTCATTGTGCAAACGTCATAGAATATACTTACACAAACCTAGATGGTATAGCCTACTACACATCTGGGCTATATGGAATAGCCTATTACTCTTAGGCTACTTGTATAGTATGTTAATGTACTGAATATTGTAGGTAATTGTAATACAATGGTATTTGTGTATCTAAACGTAGAAAAGACACAGTAAAAATATAGTATAAAAGATAAAAAGTTATACACATGTATAGGGCACTTAACATGAATGAAACTTGCAGGACTAGAAGTTGCTCTGGGTGAGTCAGTGAGTGATGAGTGAATGAGAAGGCCTAAGTTATTACTGTACCTTACTGTAGTCTTTATAAACAGTAAACTTACGCAATACTAAACGTATTTTAAAATATCTTTTTTCTTTAATACTAAATTAACTAGCTTACTGTAACTTTTTAACTGTATAAACGTTTGACTCTTTTGTTATAATATGGAGGTTAAAATACCAACACGTTACATAGCTGTACAAAAACATCTTTCTTTATAACCTCATTCTGTTTGCTTGTTTTATTAAAATATTTTTTTCTTTTTAGCTTTTTTGTTGAAAACCAAGACAAAAATACACACATTAGCCTAGACCTACACAGGGTCAGGATTATCAAGACATCAAGAGGCTCCAGGAATTTTTCAGCTTCATTATAATCTTATGGGACCACTGTCATATATGTAGCCTCTCATTAACCAAAACATTTTTATGCAGTGTGACTGTATGTGCTGAAGTGCCTGGAAATCGTACCAAAGAACAGCTGGGGGAACCAACTGTTAAGTAGTGATGTAGAGGGGTTTCTGCAATAGGTGGGAAGATCCTTTGTGAGATTCCTTCTAAGTCTGTGGATCATCACCAAGTGGTGTGCTTTTTGCTATTATATAATTAAAACCAAATTATAGTATAGACTTTATTTTTATTTGATAACCTCAGTTTCCTCAAACATGTTAAAATGTTTGTTCGCAATTTCAATTTCTGGACCTTTTCCTCCTACTTCTCATATCCAATATCGTCTCTCTAAATTCTTAGTGTGTTAACATCATCTACCTATTCATCCATCTAATCATTCATTTAGTACATATTTGAATGTTTCTTGTGTACAAACAGGGTACAGTGATCTGTGGGATACAAAATTGAATAAGGTGGTCTCTACTTTCAAGGTACTCCCCGTCTGTTGGAGGAAGTAAGACACCAGTGCAAATAACTAATTTAAGGATAGAATTAATTTGTTTCTTAAAGACAGAATAATATGTTAACACCCTATAGAAAGTGCTCTTGGTGTTCAGAGCAGGGAGAGATATAAATTTTTAATAACCATCTAATGGAAGAAAACATTCTTTCCTTGCTGAAGAAGCTCCTGCTATTGAAAGCTAGCCTTTCACTTTTATTAGTCTTTTAAATGAATTTGGGTATGGTATTTGCCATTTTACTGGTATGCCTTTTTATATGAGATCCCATCACTAGGCTGAAATGTTGTAATAGTTGGTACAGTAAATGCATGGAGGAGTTATCTAATGAATTATGAGAGATGATTAAAGATGCCACTCTGCTCTGCTTTCTTGGCAAGAAAATGAGCTAATAAGCTGGAGAGAATGACCAAGTTGTAAAATACTTCCTAAGTTCATATCTGTATATTTGTATATGTTGTCTAAATATTTCATCATTAGAGACTATATTCTTCATGACTATTAAGATCTATGAAAATTTCCATGTAAGTTTTTATTTTGTTTTTAACGTAAATTTAAAAGTTTTATTCAAGTCTAAATTGAAAACAAAAATTAATGATCCCTATCAAAAGCTTTATGGTCTGGAGTCATACTTTATTTTACTTAAGCACTATAGCATTTGACACATGAAGATGTTTTCCCGGGAGAATCTTGTTGCTGCCCAGGGCTGACAGGAAAAAAAACAATTTGTCCGACTAGTGGAGCTTACTAACAGTTCAAATAAACAACCCGTCTTTCCCTTCATACTGCATATTAATAGAAATGTTAATGATAAGCTAACAGGAAACTGCCTCCTTTACACCCTACAGGGAGCAGAGATTACTGGGTCAGAGAGTTTTCTTGCTTTGGGCCCTCTTAACAAACACAACTGTTAGCAAAATACCAATCTTATCACTTGCATATTTATTAGCACAGTATTTTTAAAGTAATAGTTATCTATTTAATACAGCCAAATTGATCATTGCCTCATTTTTGCCATTACTTAGCATGTAAATATTTTTGCCATGTAAGTATTTCAAGGTAAAATCAATTTCCCTCTCTCTCTCTCTTTTTTTTTTTTTTTTTTGTGAGACAGGGTCCTGTTCTGTCATCCAGGCTGGAGTGCAGTGGCACAATCATAGCTCACTGCAAACTCGAACTTCTGGGTTCAAGTGATCCAGTGGCCTCAGCCTCCCCAGTAGCTAGGACTACAGGCATGTGCCACCATGCCTGGCTAATTTTTTAAGTTTTTTGTAGAGACAGGGTCTTGCTATGTTGCCTAGGCAGGTCTTAAACTTCTGGCCTCAAGGGGTCCTCCTGCCTTGGCCTCCCAAAGTGCTGGGATTATAGGCATGAGTCACTGTGTCCAGCTAGTAAAAAGCTATTAACTTTAGATTTTAAACATATATTCTCTCTACATATTTTGATAGATGATAATTAACTCTTCAAAAATATTTCAGAATAACCAAAAGAGTGGATTTGGAGTGTTCCCAACACAAAGAAATGATAGATGTTTGAGTGATGGCTATACCACTTACCCAGATTTGAGGTAGCGCACACCATGCCGTATGCATTTGTGCCCTCAGTACCTAGTAGACACTGTAAATATTATTGAATTATTTAATGACTTGACTTCAATAATGCCAACTTCATTGTTCTATGATAATATTTTTCTGCCTTCTTAAGTTTTTCTTTAGCACACAGGTGTAAAATCTTGCTATTACCAATATTATTGGGTTCCACAGTTATCTAGAACTGGTCAGATACTTATGAAGCCAGGATCTGTTATTAAGACATTGATAATGTAGAGTAGAAAAGATTTCTTACCCATCTCTAGGTTCATATCTGAGACTCCTATAATAAAAGGTAGATTAACAAGAGAAAAGCATACAAATTTATTTAATATAAGTTTTACATGACATGGGAGCCTTCAGAAATTACAACCCAAAGAAGTGGGAAAAACTTTATTTTTATTCATAGGTTGATGTACAGACATACGACTGGACAAAGGGGGTATGATCTAATAGTAATAAACTGGGGAAACTGTTAGTTTAGATTCTTCTTGGTATCTCTGTGTCCGCAGAGATTGGGATATTCCTTTTCTCAGGGTCTAGAGGATACGTCTCTTAGCGGGGTCTTAAGACCTACTTTAGAGTAATGTCAGAGAATTATTTTATGACCTGTTTTAGGGAAGAAGGGCAGGAGAAGGTCAGGGAGACCTTTTTGCTTCTGCTATTTCCTCAAATGCCAATGTGCCATATTTTGGAGTAATGTGTTCTAAACCCCATCAATAGTAACTAATGACTAGTGAGGGAAGTCTGATCTTTCTAGTTAATGTTTGAGGCACTGAAAATAATGAAATTAGTTTTATAAGTCAAATATTTGGAGATTTGCAATTATTTAGCCTACTTTTAGGAGAGTATAATTTATTGGTTGCTAACAGACATGATAGTTATTGGCTACACCGTTAATGGTAATTTAAAAATAAGACAGTGTTATCCTTAGGCCTTTCCTAAGAACAGAATAAATATATATATTTATATATATTTCTATAAATATATATATTTCTATAAATATATACGTTTCTATAAATATATACGTTTCTATAAATATATACGTTTCTATAAATATATACGTTTCTATAAATATATACATTTCTATAAATATATATTTATACATATTTTATAAATATTTATATATATATTTATTTATATATTTTGAGACGGAGTCTTGCTCTGTTGCCCAGGCTGGAGTGCAGTGGTGCAATCTCAGCTCACTGCAACCTCCACCTCCTGGGTTCAAGTGATTCTCCTGCCTCAGCCTCCCGAGCAGCTGGGACTACGGGCACCTGCCACCATGCCCGGCTAATTTTTGTATTTTTAGTAGAGACAGGGTTTCACCATGTTGGCCAGGATGGTCTCGATCTTTTGACCTCGTTGTGATCTGCCCGCCTTGGCCTCTCAAAGTGCTGGGATTACAGGCATGAGCCACCATGCCCAGCCCAGAAATATTTTTAAAAATTAGTTGGGCTTATGTATATACTAGCATCATTGTATCTCTTTATAGCATTTAGATTGAATTGTTGGTGAATTATAAAAGTTTTGAGTCTGTCATAAGTGCTGAAGTATTCAGGAAATGGGTGGGCAAAGGAATAGTCTTCAGCACTTTGATCAGAGCCTGACATTAGTTGTCATTCAGTAAAAAGCAATGATTTAGTAAGTGAATTTCCATACACAAACTCTATTTCAAACAAAAATCTCTTCAGGCAGCAAACACCAAGTCATTGAAGTTGGAAACTAAAAATAAAATACACTAAATTTTACTTTTTAAAATAAGTAAACATTTGCTAGTTTAGTTTAAAATTTTATATTTTCTTTGTTTTGTAGATGGGAGGCTAAGATTTTCTTTGATAAACTTGAACTTTGGATTTCAGGTTCATTAAAGTGCAAAAACATTCTTATTTTCTTTTTAATAGCCTCTCATGTAACACATTGTTGTCACCAATAAGTGAAAATTATACCGGAAGGGCTTTTGGTTTACAACTTGCAAAAGTCTTTCTTGCATTCTTCATTATTTTCTTCTGTCTTAGAAACATGGCAGGATAGAATCAGCAGACTTAGCTTTGGTTTTTATGTTTATACTTTAAACACTGATAATCTCACAAATTTTTTCTTGTGGTGCTATAAAGTTCTTGAAAGTGTTAATTTGAAAAGATATGTATATTCCCAGTTTTCCTAATTCCTTAGAAGCTATTTTGTATATTTGCAAGTATAGAAAGTTTTATTTGACCAATTTCTAGGTTTGAGAAGCTAATATTTCTCCTATTTCATTTATCTAGTAAAAGATTAGACTAGATAATAAAGATTCAATTCAATTGATGTATAATTTTCTAAGGAACAAGTGGAATCACACATTTATTTTTAGACTTCGCTTTTACGTATTTGTCTTTTGTGGACACATTTATTAATTTCTCATTTTTTAAATTTTCAGGTAACTTGGGTTTTTACTCCTGTAACAACTGAAATAACAAGTCTTGATACAGAGAATATAGATGAAATTTTAAGTAAGTACCTCAATATTTTTAAAGTGTACTCTTTCTTCTCTATAGAGAGTTAGTTTATATATACAAAAAAAAAACCCAATAAAATCTCAGTTAGCTAGCACAGATGAAGAGCTGGCATTCTGATTAATTCCATGACTTTCTGAATTATCAAAGCACTTTTGGTTACTTTTAGTGTTTTTTATTTATTTAACTTGATATAGATACCATTCTTAACAATTCACGAAATGTTTTGATAAGCCTACTTAGAGACCAATAGTTCTCACTGTGCAGAACTAAATGTTAATGACCTTAGGACACAGCCTAGACTTTTTTTTCTTTTTTCCCTTTAATTAGATCACCTATTCTGATCTCTTTTATTGTTATTGGTCCAGTTAAGCTCAGTACTTTTTTTATTTTTTATTTTAGAGAAAGGGTCTTGCTTTGTCACCCAGACTGGAGTGCAGTGGCATGATAATATTATAGCTCACTTCAGCCTTGACCACCTCCTGGGCTCAAGCAATCCTCTTTCCTCAACCTTCCAAGTTAGCTAGGACTACAGGTGGGCTCCACTGCACGTAGCTAATTTTAAATTTTTCTTGTAGAGACATGGTCTTGCTATGTTGCCCAGGCTGGTCTTGAATTCCTGACCTCAAGCAGTCCTCTCATCTTGGCCTCCCAAAGTGCTGGGTTTACAGGCATGAACCACCACACTTGGCCTAATAAGTTTTTTACTGAATGGTTTGTTTGCTGACAATGTGGTTGTGGATATAATTAACTTGAGAGAAACCATTTCTTGTTTTTTAAAAATAGTAAAGGAAAGGTGAAGATGTGGTTGATAGAAAATCGTAACTTAGGAGCTTTAAGAAAATGTACAGTGTGCATAAATGATTTCTTTTTTTAATCCTCCATCTGACACATATAATAGAGGCAAAAGGAGTTACAACATTCATTGAGTGTAATATATTATGTTCCTGGACCTTTAAATGCTAAAAGTCTATTCCTGTCTTATGGAGTCTCTTTAGAGGAGTGGTTCCATGAACTTTAGCATGTATCAGAACCACCTGGAACACTTATTAATATCTATACTGCTAGGAAACTGCTAGACCCCTACCTAAAGATTTGCATTTCTTAAGGATTTACATTTCTGTGAGTTCCCAGGTGATGTTGGTGTTTCTGGTCCAGGAACCACAGTTTGTGAACCACTGCTTTAGAGCGAATAAGCAAGTATATAAAAAGTAACTTGAAGGTAAAAAGGGAAGAAAGGAATTGAAACTCACATGTCATTCTCACTTCTGTCATCTTTCCAATTCTAGAATATCTTTGTGTTTTATTTTCATGAGTGCTTGAGGACTTTACGTTTCTCTGAATTAGGGATAGGCAAAAAGCACTACATCTTTCTCATGTCTTTACATCTTGATGTGCAAATGATGCTGTTATTTTTGTAGGGGGGAATAACTTAAATGGATAGGAATTAAAAAACTGGCGTCTTGTGCAACACTATTAGTTGTAGATTACTTGTTGCAACTAGGTGGTATATGTGAGGTTTAAAAATAACTTAGTTATACAGGTCTTTTCTGTGATGTGGGATTTTATTTGCAGAACTAATTCTCAGTTATTCATGAATATGGAAGATCAAAAAATAAAATACAGATCATTCCACTTTACTTTTTATGATCGTAGCTTACTTGCCTTATCTGGACTTTATTTCACATTTGCTTTAAATTCATTTAAGATGCAACGAAGGAAGCCCGGTGTGATGGCTCATGCCTGTAATCCCAGCACTTTGGAAGGTTAAGGTGGGAGGTTGCTTGAGGCCAGGAGTTCGAGACCAGCCTGGGCAATATAACCAGATCCTGTCTCTACAAAAAAATACAAAAATTAGCCAGGTGTGGTGGTGTTTGCCTGTAGTCCTAGCTACTTGGGAGGGTGAAGTGGGAGGATCACGTCAACCCAGGAGTTTGAGGCTGCACTGGGTTTTGATCATGCCACTGCACTCTAGCCTGGGCAATAGAGTGAGACCCAGTCTCCATAAAATAAAAGATACAGTGAACTTATAAAGATAAAGCATACAGAGAAAAGAGACAAAGTTTCCCATAAATTATATAAGCTGTCCATGACTCTAGGTTTCTGAGTGAGAGATAATAGTTACTGTGTTTTTTTAAGTGGACCCTTATATTGGACAAAGATCATAATGAAACTGTATGTTTAATTATGTCAAAATTATTACAAATATCTTATTTGGTTTTGTCTTTCAATTTCAGACAATGCTGATGTTGCTTTAGTAAATTTTTATGCTGACTGGTAAGTAATCTTATTGTTTGGGTTTGGTTTTGTTTTTACTTGCTAAAGGTTAATTTTTCTTTGCTAGAAAGGGGAAGGGAAGGCTTTTTCTATTTCAAGACAGTATTCCATACATAAAGTCAATTAAGTTTCATCCACAAGGGAAGTAGTTTAATTTGGTAAGGATTTCTGTTTTAAGAAAGAAATAGAGCTGATTCTGTTATCTTATATCTTAAAACAAGTAACATATAACTCAAATATGACTCTCTCCACCCCCGACTCAAAGGGAACACATATTGCAATTCCGTATTTGTCCTGACTGTGGAAGAAGGGTAGTGTTTATAAGTCATGATTTGGGTATGTCAAGTTTAGAAGGAAAAATAATGTTGACATTTTTAAATTTATAGAATCTGCTGCCTCTGTCTTTTGTGTTTATACAGTACCCTATGTACCACTTTCTTTTTCTTACTAAATGTTTTGTCTTTTCTTGTTTGTGCCCTAGCAAACAAACTTTGAGGGCAGAGATAATGGCATACTCAGTATTCCCAGCATCTAGAACAACATGGTATATAGTAGATGTTACAGAATATGGCATGGAGATAGGAAGAAGGGAGATTCAGCTGGAAAGATTCTGAAACACAAGGGAGATTTAGCTGGAAAGATTCAGCATAGTCTTTATCCCTAGACACTCTGTATCTTATCTGACCCTTTAAGGCTTACTACCTACTGGCTGTCACTACCATACTCCAGGCCACAGTCCTGTCATTTACTTAAAATTCATGCTACAGTCTCCTCATTTCTTTTCTGTGCCTCTAGTCTTACGTATCTCCATTCTGTTCTCTACAATGTAAGCCAGAGTTATCTTTCTTACAGTGTAAATAAGATTAGTTTATACCCCTTCTTAAAGCCCTTAAAATGTTTCCATTACCTTTGGGTTAAAGTTTAAATCCTTTACTTTGACCCAGAAGGCCCCTTATGAACTGGTCTCTTATTCCCTCTGTAGCTGTTATGTCTGGCCTCTCTCCACTTCCACATTCTGCTCCAGTTATACTAAACTTCTTTCAATTCCTATAAAATTCTGTATTTCATCACTGGACTGTGAGGCATGATATTTCCCCTGCCTGGATGGATCATTCTTCTGTCGCCCACTTCTTTACTTAGTTAAGTTCTAATCTTTCAAGTCTTAGATTAGATGCCATTTTCTTCAGGTTATCTTCCTGGATCAATACACCTACCCCTACTCTTGACTCTGATTAGGAGCCCTTCTGTTATTTCCGGTAACACCCATACTTACCCAATCATAACACTTGTAGGCTATAATCCTAGTTGGTGACTCTCTACTACATTGTTTGCTCTGTGAGAATACATACCATAGTTTTATTTTCAACTTTAATCCCCAAGCACTTTGCTTAAAATGTGGCTGATAAGTACATAATGTCTACTGAATGAATGTATATATGGTATGATTATTTAAAGAACTTTAGTAAAAAGTTGAAGATACACAGAGAAAATGCTGTTTATAAAATATGTCTCAAAGGTAGCATTTTTCAAAGTAAATTAGGGTTGTCAAGATGTATTAATAGCCAAAAAATTTGGTAGAAGATTATGTAGTCCAATCCATTTTAAAATAAGAAAACTGAGATCCAGGGGATTGAAGTACTTTCCCAAGGTTACCCAACTAGATGATGTCTGAAGAAAAACTAGAACGACTTTCTCCTGACTGAGAGATTTTGTGTGTTGCAAGAAAGGGTAATAGAATGTGCTGCTGATCTTTTGAAAAAACTGAATTGGAAACATGGACTGAGTTATTTGGGAAAACATTACCTAAAGAATACCTTAAGTTGTTGATGAATTAATACTCTTTTATATGGCTGAAAAAGCTTGGGTAATTGGCTGTAAGACATAGACTTAATACTATGTGGCCTCAAAGTCTAGACTCTGAGTTCATTCTGGAAGTTATGGATGTGGCACAGTTTAATAATTCTGTAATAGAGGTGCTTAAAAATACTGCAGCTCCTTGAGTAATACTGTAGTAGGTGGTTAATAATGCTGTTTTGTGCCAGACTATTTTTTAAAAATTACCTAATATTTATGGGAACATAGTAGGTATATATATTTATGGGGCACATGAGATATTTTGATAGAGGTGTACAAAGTAGGATAATCACATGGCTGGGCACAGTGGCTCACGCCTGTAATCCCAGCACTTTGGAAGGCCGAGGCGGGCAGGTCACCTGAGGTCAGGAGTTCCAGACTAGCCTGACGAACATGGTGAAACCCCGTCTTTACTAAAAATACAAAAAATTAGCCGGACGTGGCAGGCACCTGTAATCCCAGCTACTTGGGAGGCTGAGGCAGGAGAATTGCTTGAAGCCAGCAGGCGGAGGTTGCGGTGAGCTGAGATCACACGGTTGCACTCCAGCCTGAGTGACAGAGCGAGACTCCGTCTCAAACAAAAACAAAAACAAACAAAAAAAACACACATCAGGGTAAATGGAGTATTCATTAATTCAAGGATTCATCATTTTTGTTACAAACATTCCAGTTTTACTCTTTTAGTTATTTAAAAATGTACAATACATTTCTGTTTAGTCATCCTGCTAGATCTTATTCATTCTAACTATATTTTTGTACTCATTAACCATCCCCATCCAGACTCTTTACATAGGTTTTTTTTAATGCTCAGAACTACTCTGTAGGTAGGTATTATAATTTCCTTTTAGGTTGAGGAATTGAGGCTCAGAAGGGTCATATGGCTAGTAAGTGGTGGAACTGGGATTTAAATTCAGGTATGCCTAACTGCAAAGCTTATTTTTTTCTCTAACTAGATCATATTAGTAAGTGCCCTCAAAATGTCTCTGCAAAGACTTATCTATTTGGTAGATTTGTTAAGGATTGATTTAAGCACTAGATGGAAGATTAGGTTTAGATGACCCTTAGGCCCTTTTAATAGATCCATTGCTTTTGTGATGTTCCTTTTATAAATGTAACATTTCCATGTGTATGGATACACATGTATGAAGGTACAGTAATTATGGAATTGAACTTTTATTTCATTTTCCCTTTTCGTCTTTTGGTACAGGTTGAGTATCCCTTATCTGAAATACTTGAGACCAGAAGTGTTTCAGTTTTTGGATTTTTTCAGATTTGGTAATGTTTGCCTTATACTTACTGGTTCAACATCCCTAACCCCAAAAATACGAAATCCAAAATGCTTCAATGTGCATTTCCTTTGAGCATCTTGTCAGTGCTCAAACAGTTTTAGATTTTGAAGCATTTTGAATTTTTAGATTAGGGGCATTCAACCTGTATTAAGACAGGTCCTATTTTAAACATGAACCATGCTTAAATACTTAATGAGTGGCAAACTGGACAATCTAGAGAAAAGAAGCCCTTGATGTGTTTTTTTACGTCGCCCTTAAGCCATAAAGAGGCTTGCCCGCTCTTTCTTCACTAGGTCAGATCTAAATTTTTCAAGAAACCATTAATCAGCCCCTACTCCTTGCCTCCCTTGCCCTCCAGCTACCTTATTTTCAGCGAACTGTAAGAACCCACAAACCTGCGGTCCTAGCCGCTCCAGTTCCTCCATTCTATCAATTTATTGATTTAATACATATATTGAATGTTTATTAGAATACATAGTCAAATAAGACACGGTCCATGATGTCCACAGACCCCATCCTCTTATCCCTGATGGGAGAGATTTAAGAATGCTAAAAGAGGAAAGAGCCACTTGAAAGCAAGAGATTGAAGATACAGATGTGTCTCCTTGATATATTCTAGGACATCTCCTTAGGAAGTCAGGTGAGTGGGCTAGAAGAGATATATATATACAAGAAGAAATAGGGAGGAAGTATAATGTTTGCATCCTTTCACAGGCTTTCCAATATTTTTATTGTATTAAAGCTAATATGTATGAACTAATTACATGTGGATTAAACTGTTCACTGACATCATTTAAGTAAATTTGGTGGAAAAGGGCTCTGGAAGCAACAGTAGCAATTGTAGTTTGTTTACATATTCTTAATACTTCTTCCGTAAGAGAATGGCCATTCTAACCCAGCTGGTTGCTAATTCTGATTCTTCCCCTTCTTATTGGGTCCCTTTAATTACCTAGAACATAGTCATCCATGACATGATGTTTAGGTCAATGACAGAAGTCCCATATATAATACCGTATTTTTACTGTAACTTTTCTGTGTTTAGATACCTGCTATTGTGTTACAGTTGCCTACAGTATTTAGTATATTAACATGTGGTACAGGTTTGTAGCCTAGGAGCAGTAGGAGGCTGTATACCCTATAGTGTAGGTGCATGCTAGGCTATACCATCTAGGTTTGTGTAAGTATACTTTATGATGTTCACGTAATGAAGAAATCGCCTAATGGTGTATTTCTGAGTGTATCCCTGTCGTTAAACACCACATGACTGTATTTGTGAAATGTTTGGCTTGATTAAGGGACAGTTAGAAGTAACAAGTTTGTAGAATATTGTGGGGGTTTGTGCCTTGTGTTTAAAGTAAAAGAAAAAAGAAAATATAGACAGGAAGTCTTGGTTAGGAATTTAAGATATTTGCTTCTGGACTTACTGTATTTAGTATGTTTACAGATATAAAAGCCCATTTTATCAAGGGGTAAATTTTGAGGGGAAATAGTTAATTATATACCATATATTCTTTTAATATAACTTATTTATTTAGTGTGTTAACTTGCCTGTGAGATTTGATAGAACTAGCCAGGTGGAGAGGTCTAATATTTGCAATACAGTTAAAATATTTTACACAATAGTCTAAAATTTTATTATTTTGAGGTGGGAGGATTGCTTGAGCCCTGGAGGTGGAGGGTGCAGTGAGCTCAGATTGTGCCCCTGCCCTCCAACTTGGGCAACAGAATGAGACCCTGTCTCAAAAAAAATTAAAAATAAATAAAATAGAGAAAGCTAATTTTTCATAAATGTTCAAGCCTCAGTAGTTACAAATCCTAACAGTACTTTGTAGAGGGCTTATTTCAGACTTGTTTTATGACCTCTGCAAGAGATCCTTAGCTGTGTGCTCCATAATACTGGCAATTGTCTTAAGATGAATAAAACCAAAATCTATTATACATTCTTAGAATTGGTATACAGTCTTTGAACTTAAAATTGTCTTCATCTCCATTGAACGATGTCAGGGTCCATGATTAAATTAAGTGTGTGATTATCTCGCAGAGTCGTTTATTATGCCTATATCAAATGTCAGTGGGCAATAACGGAAATAAGATTTTATTACTTCTGCTTTTCATTTCTAATTGGCATCCTTCTCTGTGTATAGGTGTCGTTTCAGTCAGATGTTGCATCCAATTTTTGAGGAAGCTTCCGATGTCATTAAGGAAGAATTTCCAAATGAAAATCAAGTAGTGTTTGCCAGAGTTGATTGTGATCAGCACTGTAAGTACCTCAATAGGAAGTCTAGAAGAGACTGTCCCATCCCAAACACAGGCACACATACACATTTTTTCTTTTCTTTTCTTTTCTTTTTTTTTCCTTTTCTTTTTTTTTTTAAATGCTCTGCTTTTAAGTGGAGAACAAACCGAAAAGGTTCTAGTGACCTTGGTTAAATTGTTACTATTTAATTTTTATGTACTTAGAACACTACTTTCCATTTTGCTTGTGTGAAGGTTTTTTTGTTGTTATTTAAAAAATTACAGTAGGTCAAGCGTAGGGAACAAAACTAGCAGTGTTTTCTACCAAAGCAAATACCAAAATCAGTAAATAAGATTGAAATGTAGTATTAGAAGAAAAAATGGATTTCTGTTAGTTTTAGAATCATGTGAAAATACCATTTATAGTCATTTCAAATAAGATAGTCTCAGATTTTTGTGTGTTTCTGTTTTTGAAAAGATTCTGTTTTGAAAAGATTCTGGTTTAGACTATTTTTGAGTCTAATTAGCTGTAGCAACTGATTATAATTATTAAGAGTGTTAAGAAACTTAGCTTAGGCTCTTAAAATCCAACCTCTTGCATTTTGCTTGTCCTGGTGGAGCATTCTCTATAAAATCCTCATGGTTTTTCGTATACATGAAGGATTTGTCTAACTTGAACTAGTGATCTTGCTAGTGGTGTTTCCTCCTGTGTGTTCCCATTATACTTGAACTTTCCTCTCTCATCGTGCTAAACTCATTGTATTTCGTAGTTCTGGTTCATTGTGTCTTAGTTGTCTTATCAGCTGCATTGTCTGTTCATTAAGGCAGGAATTTTTTTTTCTTTCTTTTTTTAATGCTCACTTTTAAGAGGAGACCAAACCACTTATTAATCTCTGTGTCTCAAGCATCTGACAGTTGCTGGGAGACAGAGACTGCTCACGAAAAGCTATTGCATTGAGTTATTTGTAAGTTGGTGTGAATACAGAACTGTCTCCCATTCTTCAAGTTTTCTATTTTTTTATACTTAACCTACTGATTAAAATTAGTATGTGTGTACACACACCTAACTTTTCATTTTACTGATGAGGAAATGGATATGAAGTGGCTTAATCAATGTTACATAGCTCAGTGTCTGGTAAAGCCCGAATTTGAATCCTGATTTTCTGACCAAATGCCTTCATTTGCTCTTTTCTGTTCAAACATTTTGGGGAGTTATTGGTATAGCTTTGCGCTAGGCAGCAAGGCATTTTCCAATAGTAAATCATTTCACAGTCTTCTGAGCCCCACCCCATATTTCTGTCTGCTGAAATTCATAACTAGATAGGGTGAAGGGAGCAATAAAAGGTTGTCAGTACAGGCATGGGCTACATTTTCACACTGCTTCCCAGATCTTTTCTCCGACCTTTCGCTGACAGAGAACATGATGTTTTTGGTGTGGGTTCTCATTTCAAATCTTTCTATTCTTTATGTATTTAATTAGATGTTACAGTGCAGATAAGACTTCCTACTTTTACTGAATTTGAACCATAAAATTGGAAATTATGCTCTAAAGCTTACATTCATTGGGAAGAAAATTTAATACTTATATCCTTGAACCATAAATATCATTTATTCCATCTTTTAAACAGATAACTTTTGAAGAAAATCTGACATCATTGCTAGTAAGCTTTCTTTTTATGGGGGCAAATAGCACAGTTCAGATGCTTTTCAATCCACCAGCAAGTTATCTGAGGTATTATGCATATTTTGAGGTATTATGCATCTCTCTGAATATTTTTTCTCTTCTATGTAATTCTTTTAAAGAAATGATTGTTATGAAACCCTTATTGATTAATGTATTTACATTTTCCACAGTCTCTTTAGAGATTGTAAGACAAACTGTAGTTTTGTTAACCTCTTATGTGCCAATTAGATTGTAGAGGTTTTGGACTGGAAGAACCTTAAGAATTCTGTGTTCTAAAGAGAAATGCCTTTTAGGCAGATTATTCTGTGGTCGAATTTTTTTTTTTCCTAACCATTTAAACAACTTTAATTTATATACTGATATACGTATCAGTGCTTTGAAAAATAGATTGTTCAATCCTAAAGCAGTTTTTAAAAGAGATTTATTGAGGTATAATTGACATATGTTACACAAATTTAAATTTTATAATTTTATAGGTTTTGATACATGTGTGTATCCATGAAACCATCACCACAATCAAGATATTGAGCATAGCTGTCATCCTCCAAAATTTTCCTTGTGCCCCTCTGTGATCCCTGTCTGTCCCTTCTATACCTCACCTTCATCATCCTTAAGGACCATCTACTTTCCATCACTGGAGATTGGTTTGCATTTTCTAGAATTTTATATAAGTGAATCATACAGTATGAGGTTTTTTTTGTCTGGGTTTTTTTTTTTTTCTGGACTTAGTATGTTTATTTTGAGATTGTTTCATGTTGCATATATTATTTCTTATTATTTAGTGGCATTCTATTGTGTGGCTATATACCACAATTTGTTTATCTGTTCACTTCCTGACAGACATTTGGGTTGTTTCGACTTGCTGGCTATTACAAGTAAAGCTGTTATGAACATTCAGATATAAATCTTTATACAAATAAGGATTACAAATAAAGCTGTTATAAACATTCAGATATAAATCTTTATACATATGTTTTCATTTTTCCTGAGCAAATACCTAGATGTGAAATGCTAGGTCATATGGTAGGTCCATGTTTAACTTTTTAAGAAACTGCCAAACTATTTTCCAAAGTATTTGTTCTATTTTATATACCCACTAATAGTACATGAGAGTTCCAGTTGTTCCATATTCTTGTCAAAACTTGGAGTGGATAGTCTATTTAATTTTACATATTCCAATATGTGTGAAGTGGTGTCTCCTTGTGGTTTAATTTGCATTTTTCTAATAATTAATGACGTTGAGAATATTCTTACATGTTTATATACATTCATGTATCTGTGATGATGTGTCTGTTCAAATATTACACATTTTTTATTGGATTGTTTATTTTCTTATTGAAATTTGTTTATTTATTTGTTTGCGACAGGGTCTCACTGTCTCGCCCAGGCTGTAGTGCAGTGGCACAATCTTGGCTCACTGCAGTCTCGGACCTTCCAGGCCCCAGTGGCCTTTCCACCACAGCCCCCCAAGTAGCATGTGCCACCACACCCAGCTAATTTAAAAAAATATTTTTAGAGACAGGTCTCCTTATGTTGCCCAGGCTGGTCTCAAACTCCTGGGCTAAAGTGATTGTTCCTCCTCGGCTTCTGAAAGTGCTGGGATTACAAGCATGAGCCACTGTGCCCTGCCCTCTGAGTTTTGAGAGTTCTTTATATATTGTGAATACAAGTCTTTTTTCACATATGTAATTTGCAAATATTTTCGCCCATTCTACCCTTGTATTTTTTTAAAAAAATTGTAACATATACATAAAATTACTATCTTACCATTTTAAATTGTACAATTTAATACTGTTAAATGTATTCACATTGTTGTGCAACCAGTCTCCAGTTCTTCATCTTGCAAAACTGAAGCTCTACACCCGTTAAACAACAGCTTCCCATTGCCCATTCTCCCCAGCCCCTGGCAACCACTTTTCTACCTTCTTTTTCTACAAATGCGATTACTCTGGGTACTCCACATAAGTGGAATCATACAGTATCTGTCTTTTTGTGACTGGCATATTTCACTTAGCATAATGTCCGCAAGGCTCATTCGTGTTGTAGCATGCGTCAGAATTTCCCTACTTTTTAAGGCTGAATAATATTTCGTGGTATGTATATACCACGATTTGTTTATCATCCATCAAGAACACTGGTTGATTCTGCCCCTTGGCTATTGTGAATAATGGTGCTATGAACATGAGTGTACTAATATCTCTTTGAGACCTTTAAAGAAAGTTCCCAGTTTTTTTTTAATATATATCCAGGAGTGGAATTGCTAGATCATATGGTAGTTTTTAATTTTTTGAAGAAACATCATACCATCTTTCACAGCAGCTGTATCATTTTACATTTTCATTAGGAGTACCTAAGGGTTGCAGTTTCTCCACACCCTCACCTGCACTCTTATTTTCTCTTTGTTGTTGTTTTTATTTTTTTTAAATTTTATTATTATTATACTTTAAGTTTTAGGGTACATGTGCACAACGTGCAGGTTTGTTAACATATGTATAAATGTGCCATGTTGGTGTGCTGCACCCATTAACTCGTCATTTAGCATTAGGTATATCTCCTAATGCTATCCCTCCCCCCTCCACCCACCCAACTCCTGGGCTCAAGGGATCCTCCCACTCAGCCTCCTGAGTAGCTGGGACTACGGTGTGTGTGACTCTGTGGGCTCTATTTTCTGTTTTTGTTCGTTTGTTTGTTTATAGCAGCCATACTAATGGGTGTGAGATGGTATCTCATTGTGTTGGTTTGCATTTCCCTAATAATTAGTGATGTTCAGTATTTTTTCACATGCTTATTGGTCATTTGTATATCTTCCTTGGAGAAATATTTATTCAACTCCTTTGCCCATTTTAAAATCAGGTTATTTGGGTTTTTGTTGTTGATGTTGAGTTGTAGGAGTTCTTTGTATATTCTAGATATTCACCCCTCATATATATGATTTGCAAATAAATTCTCCTGTTCTATAGGTTGCCTTTTCACTCTGTTAATTGTGTCCTTTGAGTCATAGAAATTTTTGATGGTAATGTGGTCTATCTTATGTATTTTTACATTGGTTGACTGTGCTTTAGATGTTATATCCAAGATATAATTGCAATCTAATGTCATGAAGCTTTACTCTCCTATGTTTTCTTCTAAGAGTTTTAGAGTGTTTAGAGAGTTTAAGAGTGTTAGGTCTTATATTCAGGTCTTTCATTTATTTTGAGTTAATTTTTGTGTATGGAACAAGGTAAGGGCCCAACTTTATTATTTTGCATGTGTACTTCTAGGTTTTCCAGCATCATTTATTGAAGAGCCTGTTCTTTCCCCATTGAATGGCCTTGGCATCCTCATCAAAAATCATTTTACTATATATTTGAGGGGTTATTTCTGGACTCTGTACCATGGTCTGTATGTCTGTTTTATGCCAGTTCCACACTTTTTGATTACTGTAGTCTTGCAGTATGTTTTGAAATCAGGAAGTATGAGACCTCCAACTTGAGTGTCTTTTGAAGAGAAGATGTTCTTAATGTTGGTGCAGTCTTACTGTCAGTTTTTAAAATGGATTATAGTTTTGATGTTGTATCTAAGAAGTCTTTGCCTCACACAGGATCACAAAGATTTTCTGCTATGTTTTCTTTTATAAATGTGGTAGTATGAAGGTTTATACTTATGTCTGTGATCCATTTGGAATTAATTTTTACATGTGGCATAGTGTATGAATTGGAGTTCAATTGTTTGCATATGGTTCTGGCATTATTTGTTGAAAAGACTATCCTTTCTTCACTGTCATTGCATCTTGCTGAAATAAACTGACACTGTATGTGTGGGTCTATTTTTGTTCTGTCTCTTCTATACTGTTGATCTGTTTGTGCTTATACCAGTACTTCGTAGATTACTATAGCTTATAAAGAGTTTTGAAGTCTGGTCAGGTAAAGCTTTCAACTTTGTACTTTTTTTTCAGAGTTGTTTGGCAGTTCTGGTTGATTTAGATTTCCATTTAACTTTTAGAATCAGCTTGTTAATTTTTAATGACAACATAAAAGGCGACTGGGATTTTAACTGGGGTTACTTTGAATCCTCAGGGCAATTTGTGGGAAATTGTTATTTTAATGATACTGATTCTTCGAATCCATGAAGATTGTATATCTCTCCATTTATTTAGGCATTTTCAGTTTCTTCCAGCAATGCTTTGTGGTTTTTCAGCCTACATGTCTTGGATAGCTTTATCAGATTTATTCCTAAGTATTTCTTATTTTTTTGATGCTATTGTAAATGATACTTTAAACTTTATTTCTGGAATAATTGTAGATCATATGTAGATTATAGTTGCAAAAATAATACAGAGAATTCCCTTATATTCCTTACCTATTTTGCCCTAACATCAACATCTTATATTACTATGGCACATTTGGATTTTATTTGGATTTTATCCCTCTTCCACTTAATATCTTTTTGTTGTTGTTGTTCTAGAGTATCACTTTTAGGCATAATGTCTTCCTGGTTACCTTTGATCTATTTGTTTCTCAGTCTTCATTTTTTACAACCTTGACAGTTTTGAGTAATATTCTTTAAGAATTTTGTAGAATGTCCTTCATTTTGGGCTTGCCTGGTATTTTTTTTCTCATGTTTTGGTCATCTTTTGTGAGATCTCTCAGTAAGTATTTCTTATTTTGGGGTGCTGTTATAAATGGCATTGATTGTTAAATTTTAATTTTTAGTTTTTTTGTTGCTAGTTTATAGAAATAAGATTGATTTTTTATATTGACCCTATATACTAAAACTTATTAGCTCCAATAAGTTTTATAAATACAGTCCATAGATTTTCTACTTAGACAATTAGGTTTTTTTTGCAAATTAAAAGCTTTAATTCTTGTGGTCTGTATTTCCTTACAGTATTCTTTCCAACCAAGTGTACCTACTTGTTGCTTTAGGATTAGTTTTTGTTAGGCAGAAGATCTGTAAGAAGCTTCCTAGCAAGGACAGAAGGTGGCCTCAGAATCAAGATATCATCATGCCCACGTATGTCTTGTTTGTATCAATCACCTGTCTGGTATTATGTTAGCCTACTCTGTCCTGCCCTTGAGTACTTTAGTCTGTCTGCCTTGCTTCCAACTCACTGCTTCACTGAGACCTTTTATCCAAAGTCACAGTATTATTTCTTGGAAAAGTTCCTGTAAAAAGTTTCTAGTCAAATTGCCTGGGAAAAAACCCTACTACTTATTGAGTGCTTACTTGATTTTAGACATGTTCTTTCGGATATTTTAGTTATCTTTACCACGACGCATTACACCTCTAGTTAAGTAGTATTATTCATTTAACAACAAAAAAATTTATGCCTACCTTATGTAATGCTATGTGGAAGGTTCTATAGCTACAGCAATGAACCAAACACACCCAGAAAGGCAAGAGAGTACAATACACAATCGCAAATTGTGATATCTATTCTGACGGGAAGGTATTGAATGCTACAAAATGATGAGTCTGACTTAGTCTGCAGGGATAGGGAAGACGTTTTCGAGGAAATGATTAAAAAAAGTGAAGGAAGAGTAGGAATTTTCAAGTGAAGTAGTGGAAGAAGAGTGTTTTAGATGGAAGTAGCAGTAGATGTGAAGTTTCTGAGGTAGGAGAGAGCACTGACCTTTCAGAGAGTTGGACTGTGTTACCATTTTACTGATGAAGAGGCTGAAAGATACAGAGAGGCTAAGTTATTTCCCAAGGTTGCATAGTAAATGGAGGGAGCCAGACTGGAACCCAGGACGATACAGCTTTTATCAGTTAACTATGCTATTTGAAAGTCAAAATAAAGTAATTTAAATTGAATTCCCCATAGAAATGGAGAATTCGCCCATTTCTGAATAAAAACAACTTAAAATGTCCTATTACAGGTTATAAAATAGTCTGTTTAAATAGTCTATAATGGGTCATTATATAAATAAAAATGCAATTGCAATTTTTTGGTAAGTTTGAAATTTTACAAATTTTTAGAAACTTGGTATTTTAAAAGTCCTGAACCTGTAGTTTGTCATTGATTAAGGAAAAAGCTAGGAGCGCCTTACTTCCTTGGAGTTTTTGAAAAAGTATGTGTAAGAAGCTAGAAATCTGCAGTATACAGAGTATTGTGATATTGTTAATTGTAATTTGCTTATTTTCACTGTAATAAATGACCTTCAACACAATTATTGAATTTTTAAAAACTTTCTTTGAATAGGCTTTTGCCAGCATTTTGAGGAATGCTTGGAGTTGAGCTACTTGATGGCTTCTAGAAACTGACCCACAGTTCTCTGTGTGGTTGTCCTGAGTTTTTCATTTTCATTCATTTAAGAATTTCGTTTAATATGTTCATACTGTTCTGTCCATTAAAAAAAAAAAGAATTTCATTTAATATTCTAGCCTATGGAAACAACTAGTAGTAGCAGCAGCAGCAGTGATGTTAATAATGACAATAATAATGATAAAATGGCTCTATGAGAGTAGAGACCTTATGTTTTTACCTTTCTATTCCTAGCACTGGAATGGTATCTAGCACATAGTAGGTGTTCAGTTGTAATTGTTGAACAGATGGATAGATAAATGAATAGTAAACAGTACCAGCACTTATGAACTGTTTTGTAGGCACTACAGTTATCATTATTTTCCAAAAATGAAATAAATACTGCCATAGTTTATACCCAGTCTAACTCATCATTGATCGTAAGGCAAAATTTTATGTACAAAAGAAAAAATGAACTACAACACAAAGCTTTCTTATCAGTTATATTTTTAATTCATATGTGATAAACATTTATGAGATACAGAGTAATATTTGAATACATGTATATAATGTTTAATGGTTACATCAGGATAATCCTCTCTTCTAGTACTCAAAAATATACAATAAATTATTATTAACTACAGTCACCCTACAGTGCTGTAGAACAACACTAGAACTTATTTCTCCTGTCTAGAGGTAATTTATTTTTATCTAACTTTTGTAGATACATAGTAGGGTGTATATTTTTATGGATTACAAGAATTTTTTTTTTTTCTGTTTGAGACAGAGTCTTGCTCTGTCTCCCAGGCTGGAGTACAGTGGCGCGTTCTCAGCTCACTGCAACTTCTGCCTCCAGTGGTCAAGCGATTCTTGTGCCTCAGCCACTTGAGTAGCTGGGATTACAGGTGTGCGCCACCACGGCCAGCTAATTTTTGTAGATTTAGTAGAGACAGGGTCTCACCATGTTGGCCAGGCTGGTCTCGAACTCCTGACCTCAAGTGATCCACCCGCCTCAGCCTCCCAAAGTTCTGGGACTACAGGCGTGAGCCACTGCGCCAGGCCAAAAGATATTTTGAAGTCCGTAATAGTCACATCAGGGTATCCATGACTTCAAGCATTTATCCTTTGTCTTTAAAACGATTGAGATCGAATCATACGGTTTAAGTTATTTTTAAAAGTACAATTAAATTAGTTTCTACTATAGTCACCCTGTTGTGCTAGCAAATACTATGTCTTATTTATCTTTTTTTTTTTTTTTTTTTTTTTTTTTTTTTTTGAGACAGAGTCTCGCTCTGTTGCCCAGGCTGGAGTGCAGTGGCGCTATCTCGGCTCACTGCAAGCTCCACCTCCTAGGTTCAGGCCATTCTCCTGCCTCAGCCTCCTGAGTAGCTGGGACTACAGGTGCCCGCCACCATGCCTGGCTAATTTTTTGTATTTTTAGTAGAGACTGGGTTTCACCATGTTAGCCAGGATGGTCTCGATTTCCTGACCTCATGATTCGCCCGCTTCGGCCTCCCAAAGTGCTGGGATTACAGGCATGAGCCACTGCGCCCGGCCTATTGATTCTTTCAAACTACTTTTTTGTACCCATTCACCATCCCTCCCTGACCCTCGACTACCCTTTCCACCCTTTGGTAACCATCCTTCTATGCTCTATCTCCATGAGTTCAGTTGTTTTAAGTTTTAGCTCCCACAGTTAAGTGAGAACATGCAATGTTTTCCTGTGCCTGGCTTATTTCACTTAACCTAGTAACCTCCAGTTCCATCCATGTTGTTGCAAGTGACAGGATCTCATTCTTTTTTTTATGGATTAGTAATACTCCATTATGTGTATGTACCACATTTTCTCTATCCATTTGTTTGTCAATGGACACTTAGGTTGCTTCCAAATCTAGCCTGTTCTGAATAGTGCTGCAATGAACATGGGAGTGCAAATGTCTCTTGCATATACTGATTTCCTTTCCTTTGGGTGTATACCTAGCATTGGGATCATGGGATCATATGGTCGTTCTATTTTTACTTTTTTTGAGTCACCTCCAAACTGTTCTCCATAGCGATTGTACTAATATACATTCCTACCAACAGTGCAAGAGGGTTCTCTTTTCACCTTATACTCGTCAGCATTTGATTGCCTGTCTTTTGAATGAAAGCTATATTAACTGGGGTGAGATAGTATCTCATTGTAGTTTTGATTTGCATTTCTTTGACGATCAGTGATGTTGTGCACGTTTTTATATACCTGTTTCCCATTTGTATGTTTTCATTTGAGAAATGTCTATTCAAATATTTTGCTTATTATTTAATCAGATTATTACATTTTTGAGTATAGAGTTGTTTGAGTTCCCTATATATTTTCATTATTAATCCCTTGTCAGATGGATAGTTGGCAAATATTTTCTCCAGTTATGTGGGTTGTCTTTTCACTTTGTTGATTGTTTCCTTTGCTGTGCGAAAGCTTTTTAACTTGATGTGATCCCATTTGTCCATTTATTTACTTTGGTTGCCTGTGCCTATCGGAGATTGCTCAAGAAGTCTTTGCCCACTCCAGTGTCCTGGAGAGTTTCCCCAATGTTTTCTTGTAGTAGTTTCATAGTTTGAAGTCTGAGATTTAAGTCGTTAATCCATTTTGATTTGATTTTTTGTGTATGGCAAGAGATAGGGGTCTAGTTTCATTCTTCTGCATATGGATATCCAGTTCTTCCAGTACCATTTATTGAAGAGACTGTCCTTTCCCCAGTGTGTGTTCTTGGAACCTTTGTCAAAAATGTGTTCACTGTAGATATATGGATTTATTTCTGGATTTTCTGTTGCACTGATATATCTGTCTGTTTTTTGTTTGTTTATTGTTGTTGTTGTTGTTGTTGTTTTGAGTCGGAATCTTGCTCTGTCGCGGGGCTGGAGTGCAGTGGCGCAATCTCGGCTCACTGCAACCTCCACCTCCCAGGTTCAAGTGATTCTTCTGCCTCAGCCTCCCAAGTAACTGGGACTACAGGCACGTGCCACCATACCCAACTAATTAGTGTATTTTTGGTAGAGATGGGGTTTCACCATGTTGGCCAGGATGGTCTCGATCTCTTGATCTCGTGATCCACCAGCCTCAGCCTCCCAAAGTGTTGAGATTACAGGCGTGAGCCACTGCGCCTGGCCTGTGTCTGTTCTTTATGCCAGTATCATGCTGTTTTGGTTATAGGTTGGTGCAAAAGTAATTGCGATTTTTGCCCTTTTTTTTTTATGGCAAAAAACCGCAATTACTTTTGTGCCAACCTAATACTATACCTCTGTAGTATAATTTGAAGTCAGGTGATGGGATTCCTCCAGTTTTGTTCTTTTTGCTTAAGATAACTTTGGCTATTCTGCGTCTTTTGTGGTTCCATATAAACTTTAGGATTGTTTTTCTATTTCTGTGAAGAATGTCATTGGTATTTTGATAGGGATTGCATTGAATAGGTAGATTGCTTTTGGTAGTAATAACATTTTCACAATATTGATTCTTCCAATCCATAAACATAGAATTTCTTTCCTTTTTTTGTCCCTTTCAGTTTCTTCCATCGATGTTTTATAATTATCATTGTAGAGATCTTTCATTTCTTTGGTTAATTCCTAGGTATTTTATTTTATTTGTAGCTATTGTAAATGGGATTACATTTTTATTTCTTTTTTAGATTGTTCACTGTTAGCGTATAAAAATGCTACTGATTTTTGTAAGTTGATTTTGTATCTTGCAACTTTATTGAATTTGTTTATCAGTTCTTATAGTTTTTTAGTGGTCTTTAGGTTTTTCAAAATATAAGATCATATTATTTACAAACAAGGATATTTTGACTTTTTCCTTTCTAATTTGGATTCCCTTTATATCTTTCTCTCATCTGACTGCTCTAGCTACGACTTCCAGTACTATGTTGAATAATAGTGACAGTGGGCATCCTTGTATTCCAAATCTTAGAGGAAAGGCTTTCAGTTTTTCCCCATTCAGTATGATACTAGCTGTGGGTCTATTGTACATTGTCTTCATTAAGTTGAGATATGTTCCTTCTCTGCAAGTTCCTTGGGGGTGTTTATCATGAAGGAATGTTGAATTTTATCAAATGCTTTTTCAGCATCAATTGAAATAATCATATGTTTTTTATCCTTCATTTTCTTGATATAATGTATCACATTGATTGATCTGCATATGTTGAACCATCATCCTTACATCCCAGAGATAAATCTCACTTGGTCATGATTAATGATCTTTCTAATGTACTGTTGAATTTGGTTTGCTGGTATTTTGTGGAGGATTTTTGCATCAATATTTATTGGCCTGTAGTTTTCCTTGTGTGGATGTGCCTTTGTCCGGTTTTAGTGTCAGGATAATACTGTTCTCATAGAATAAGTCTGGAAGTATTCCCTCCTCCTTTGTTTTTTGGAATAGTTTGAGTAGGATTGGTATCAGTTCTTCCTTAAATGTTTGGGAGGATTCAGCAGTGAAACCATCAGGTCCTGGGCTTTTTTTTTGCCAGAAGCTTTCTTATTATGGCTTCGATCTCATTATTTGTTATTGGTCGGTTCAGGTTTTGGATTTCTTCATGGCTCAATCTTGGTAGGTTGTATGTGTCTAGGAATGTGTCAGTTTCTTCTAGATTTTCCAATTTATTGGCAAATAGTTGCACACAGTAGCTGCTAATGATCCTTAGAATTTCTGTGGTATCAGTTGTGATGTCTCCTTTTTCATTTCTGATGTTATTTATTTAGGTCTTCGCTCTTTTTTTCATAGTCTGGCTAAAGGTTTGTCAATTTTGTAAAACTTACCAAAAAACCAACTTTTTGTTACCTGTGCTTTTGTATTGTCTTTTTCAATTCAATTTCATTTATTTCTGTCCTGATCTTTATTATTTCTTTTCTTCTACTAATTTTGGGTTTGGTTTGATCTTGCTTTTCTAATTCTTTAAGAGGTATCATTAGGTTATTTATTGGAAGTTTTTTCTTATTTTTTGATGTAGCCATAAACTTCTCTCTTAGTTCTACTTTTGCTGAATCCCATAGGTTTTGGTATGTTGTATTTCCATTATTATTTGTTTCAATAAAATTTTCAATTTCCTTCTTAATTTCTTCATTGACCACTGGTCATTCAGGAGCATATTAATTTCCATGTAATTGTATAATTTCTAAGATTTCTCTTGTTATCCATTTCTAGTTTTATTCCATTGTCATCAGAGGAGATGCTTGAGATAATTTCAATTTTTTTGAACGTTTTAAGACTTGTTTTGTAACCTAACATGTGGTCTGTCCTTGAGAATGAGCTTTGTGATGAGGAAAAGAATGTGTATTCGGCAGCCATTGGATGAAATGTTCTGTAAATATCTGTTAGGTCCATTTGGTTTATAGTGCAGGTTAACTGTGATGTTTCCTTGTTGATTTTCTGTCTGGAAGATCTGTCCAAGACTGAAAGTAGGGTATTTAAGTCTCCAGCTATTATTGTGTTGGGGTCTCTCTTTAGCTATAATAATACTTGCTTTATATATCTGGATGTTCCAGTGTTGGGTGCGTATATATTTACATTGTATTACATGCATTACATATGTATATGCATTGTATTTACATTTGTTATATCCTCTTGCTGAATTGACCCATTTGTCATTATATGTGACCTTCTTTGTCTCTTCTTATAGTTTTTGTCTTGAAATCTATTTTGTCTGATATAAGTATAGTGATCTTGCTCTTTTTTGGTTTCCATTGGCATGGAATATCTTTTTCCATTTCTTTATTTTCAGTCTATGTATGTCTTTAGAGGTAGAGTGTGTTTTTTGTAAGCAACAGATCTT